>NC_000023.11:145687727-145990757 GCF_000001405.40 Homo sapiens | reverse complement strand
GTCCTCAAGACCTTTAGACTCTAAGGGTAGCCAGTGGACCACTGGGGGTTAATCTCAACTGAAAGAAAATAATTTCCCTAAATGATCTTCTTCCTCTTCTAATAATAGAATTAGATGACCAATCCAGGTTTGGGGTTTTGCAGGAAAAATTTCCAGCTTTCCTTGTAGATATCTGGAAAAGATATGGTAAGTTTTTGCCACACAGCTTTATTTGTCATGTGGCAAGAATATATAGAGATTCATGTTCAACTGTAATTTCCAGGATGTGGTGATTCAATTTTGTTTCATATACTTATTGAATATGTATTATCTTTATTTTTTAATTTGCTCGTTCTGTATGACATTTTATGTATATCCCTGCTTAGATAGACATGTTTGTTTTCATTCAATTCAAATCTTGAAGTTCTAAGAAGACACACTGGGGAATGCAGAGGTTAATGGCTTCTAATAGTTCAGCTGCAATTTCAAATGATACTGCAGGGTTTCATCAGCTCATTCAGTTGCTTTGAACTCACCATCTCTTTGTCATACATGATGATACTCTTTGAATAATTGCTTTTTATGGTGACCGTACGGTTTGGTTTCTAGTATTCCAGAAATTCATTATCTCCTTTTATAAGGTCACTCTGTTGAATTTCACTAGTTGGGGAATGCATGTGATGTTGTGAATTCAAAGTTGTAAAATAAGCAACATTCTCTTTGCATCATGTGGAACAAGGTTGCTTCAAGTTGATATGTTTGAGTCTCCTAATCACCTAGCTCCCAGACTCCCTAGCGTGAATGAAATTAATTTTCACTTAAATGCAGGGCTTCATTTGCTTGTGAGGAATTTGCCTATACAGCGATGGATGTAAGTGGTATGTGAATATAATCACTAGTGTGTCTGTCAGAATCTAGGTTACAAAAAAAATTAACATATATCTCTTTGCCTATATTAATAACAAATCTATCATATATAGATAGTAACAATTTTATAAGACCTGGTATATCGAAGATGAATTTAATCCTTGAATATGATATAAATACCCAGACTGGTAGATAAGTTAACATTAAGTCATTATTAATGCTTAATAATTACAGTTTTACTCAATTAAAACTGATAATTTTCATACAGGTGGGAAGCATTGGTGAGAGTGTGGTTAAGAGACTTAACTGTGACCTCAGAGAAAGAATTTGGGATATTTTTTAAATTAGTTTTTAATTATAAATTTAGTTTTTCCTCACAATAACCGGTGAATCCAAGAGATATATACAGACAAATTTTTATATTCCATATATATTTTTAACAGCATTCACTCAATGGTACGTTAATATTTAAATCCAGTTTCTCATTTTAAACAAACATGTATGTGAAGCTTAATTGTATGTGTCAACTTGGCTAAGCTATGATACCCAGTTTTGATCAAACACCAGTCATGTTGTTGTTGTGAAGGTAAATTTTACGTGAGATTAATATTTAAATAAGTAGACTTCACATAAAGCAGATTATCATTTATAATATGGATGGGCCTCATCCAGTGAGTTGAAGGCCTTAAGAGGAAAAGACTGAGGTCCCCAAAGGAAGAAGGAATTCTACTACCAGGCTGCCTTTTAGACTTGAGTTGCCAAATCAAGCCTTCTATGATCTTCAGCCTGCCAACCTTTTCTGTAGAGATTGAACTTGCTTGCTCCAACAACTCTGTGAGCCAGTTCCTTAGAATAAATCCCTTGTCTCTCTGAGTCTCTCTCTCTTTCTCTCCCCTGCCCTTTCCCTCGCCTCTTTCCCTCTCTTTCTTTCCGCCTTCTCTCTTCATACACGCACCACTGATTGGTTCTGTTTTTCTGAAACCATAGTGTAATATCTACACTAAGTCACTATTAGAGAAGCTGATACGTGTAATATGCCTTCATTGTCCAACAAATGGGAACATTCACTGAGTTCTGCATAATATGAAAGATGTATACATATATATCATATAACAAATGTGAAAACATTGACATCTTTCCTCATGAAATGCTTTTTCTAGTTTAAGTTTCAAAATTTCACTACTTAGTGGGGTTTAATTTAGGATTAGTGATATAAACTAGGGATAGATATTTTTAACTATTTATGTGTTTTCCCATATATCATGGCAACACATAATTATTTCCTAGCAGACTTTTTGAGTTTTTTGGGGAAGTAAAGCCGTGACTTAATCCATTCTTGCTACTATAAACAAATACCATACACCAGGAAGTTTATAAACAGATATTTATTTCTTACAGTTCTGGAGGCCGGGAAGTCCAAGATCAAGACAACAGCAGATTCATTGTCTGTCAAGAGCCCATCTTCTTGCTGTAACTTCACATGGCAGAAGGGACAAGGCTGCTCTCTGGGGCTTCTTTTATAAGGGCACTAATCCTATTCATGCAGGGTCCACCTTTATGACCTAATAATTTGCCTAATAACTCCACCTCTTAATGCCATCACATTGGTTCTTAGGTTTCAACACACGAATTGTACGTAAAACATAAAATTCAGACCATAGCACTCCACGTGTTAATTTTCTAACTTTGAATGATACTTCTTATTCTTCCTTGTTGAGAATTTTCCTTGATAATCTATTTAATTTACATTTAGGCATTAAAAATATCATTGCTTTGTCGGATTTCCCTAAGTGTAACATTTATCTTTCTGACTTTGCTTTTGCAATGAGGAAATGTGTGCACACTGAAAATCTTTACAGAATCGAACTCAGTCATCTTTTGACGTGGGAGCATGACATAGTTTTTGTTTACTTCAGGAAAGTCATGCTATGTTCTTTGTAGATATGTAGAATAGATGTTATAAATTTATTCCTAGCATCTCCTTTTCTTTTTATGTTAATTAAATTCACATCTCCATCATCTTTGCTGATTATTGCAGGTAGACAGGTAACATGCCTAGTTTTGCCAACTCACTTCCCTCTCAGCTTTCATTATTTTTTAGCTCATTTAGTTGGATGATTGCATTCAACGGTTTAATGAATTAGAATTCAATAAACTTTCTGAACCCATTGACCTGTTAGGAACTGCTTTATCATGGAATAGCAAGTTAGGTGGATAGTACCTGAGTTCCTTTTCTCCTTTGCTTTGTTTTATTTTTATTTTGAAAGTTTTGCCTTTTTTAGTGAAGAATGCTTTACCTAAATTATCTATTAAAAAGTACATTCAAAATTATTTAATTTGATAAATGGTAAAGTAGGCATCACTGGCTAAAAATTAAAACACTGATAATTTCTTGCTAATAACATTTCATGAATGAATTACATTCCCCTAAGTCCTTTTCAGGTTTTCTGTTACAGTGTAGGCTCGCTTTTATTCTGAGAACTGGGTGGTAAATCTGAAGATTTGGAGAACTTTGCTTTCTGCCCATCCTGTGTCGGCACTGTGTCCTCCTGAGTCATTACCATTTGAAGACATTTTGGTAGAATGAAAGTGGAAGGAATTTCTCAGGCTAGATAAAAATAACCCAAAATATTAAAGTATTTTGTTTAAATATTACTATTTTTGGATTATTTTTATCTAGTCTGAGAATGTCCTAAAAGAACTTTCTTATTGGTAGTCAAGTAAGGAGTTAACAAATAGGAAATTACCATATCTTAATTAAATGGGTTTAGGAACGTATATATATTGACTCTAGTGATGACAGTAATGTTCTTGCTTCTGTGTTGTTTTGCAGTCTCCCAATATATTTTTACATTACCTCATTTACTCCTCATAAAAAATCAGGGCTATAGAATTATTAATGTTTATTTAGTTATTGGTTGTTCCTGATGTCTACCCATAACAATGTCCAAGTTCTTGCCCAAAAGATGTATAACCATTCACCAAATGATGCTTGTTACTATTACAGCTACTCTATTAATACAGCCATAAGGGGTGCTACTATTATTAACTTTACAAGTATTGCTATGTTGAAGTGCAATTTTTACCTCCTAACAGGCAGGAAATGCTTGGATGTTCATAAAATAATATAAACAAATTGCCGACTGTTGATAAGATAAATTCTACTCTTAAGTTTACCTTTAATAAAAGCATATTATCTTGATTTTTAATGAAAATTTTCAATTTTTTACATGTTTAATAAAATGGGACTCCATTAATGATTAATTTAATATTTTTATAAAGATTCTCCATACCTGTTTTTATCCACTGTAACTATCTAGATTTTATTTAACAACTATAGTTTTGTCATGTTCCACCTAGACTACAGGCATGCTTGAGGACTTAGGTATTAAAGGCAAGTAATGGAATAGTGAGGGTTAGCTATCAGGAGATACAAGGACTTTGCCTAGGCTCCCATTGTGTGGATTTGTATGGTCTTAATAGAAAATAACTGCCATTAACATGTATGCTTGGCTGGGTGTGGTGGCTCACGCCTGTAATCCCAGCACTTTGGGAGGCTGAGGCAAAGGGAGGACCAGTTGAGGCCAGGAGTTCGAGACCAGCCTGGCCAACATGGCAAAACCCCGTCTCTACTAAAAATACAAAAATTAGCCAGACGTGGTGGCATACGCCTGTAATCCCAGCTACTTGGGAGGCTGAAGCAAGAGAATTGCTTGAACCCAGGAAGCAGTGGTTGCAGTGAGCCGAGATGGCACCACTGCACTCCAGCCTGGGTGACAGAGTGAGACTACATCTCAAAAAAAGGAAAAGTATGCTTTTAGTGGAAATGGATTGTATGATTATGTAGACATTATGTGTCTTAATAATTTTTTAGGTTATAAAATTATTTTGTAAATTTCTTCAAACCTAATACATTCTGATATAAATTAAAAAATAAGTTTATATAAATCTACAGTTGACTCTTGAAGAACCCAAGTTTGAAATGCGTGAGTCCACTTACACGTCAATTTTCTTCCATGCCTGCCATCTTTAAGACAGCCAAGACCAACCCCTTCTCTTCCTCCTCCTCCTCAGCCTACCCAACATGAAGGTGATGAGGATGAAGACCTTTATGATGATACACTTCCACTTAATGAATAGTATATATTTACTTTTCTTACTTTATTGTAAGAATGCAGTATATACATATACAAAATATGTGTTAATCGACCTTTTATGTTATTAGTAAGGCTTCTGGTTAACAGTAGGCTATTAGCAGTTAAGTTGGCAGGGAGTCAACAGTTATACACAGATTTTTGACTGTACAAGGAGTCAGTGCCCCTAACCCATGCTTTGATCAAGAGTGAACTGCATTTTTTTATTATTAGTCTACAGATTTTATCTAAGCACTCTACCTAAAAGATTAAGAAGCATAAAGTCGATGTTAATATTGGATGTTAATTTTTTTTACTATTCTTTATATTAGCATGAACAAATTTTAATTATTGTTTTAAAGTGTGGAGCCATTGTTGGATGTAGAACTAAGTGACTTGATCATGATTTAAGAGAAATGAATGATGTAAATTCGTTTTCGTAGCTTGAAAGCATGATTTTTTGTTTTAATTTTTTAAATGATGGGTATGCTGTTATCTCACTGTAACTACTGAACCTAGACAACCTGTAGGGAAACCATCTACATTTCATATCCCTTCCTCAACGTATGTAAACTTCTTGTTAAATTAATATTCTAAAATATTTTGCATGTTTGCATAAGAAGGTACGTCCCTGTGAGAAGCTAAAATGTGGTTTTGAGTATCCATGTGTTTTTAATTTCTCTAGAAATATCCTGTGCACATTTTTTAATCTGGTTTGATTTATGGATATGAAGTCCTGGATATTCATCCAGAATAAACTATATATTGGCTTCATAATATGTATGAAATTCAACTTTTTTTTGTTTTCGAGACATAGTCTCACTCTGTCACCCAGACTGGAGTGCAGTGGCACCATCTCAGCTCACTGCAACCTCCACCTCCCGGGTTCAAGCAATTCTCCTGCCTCAGCCTCCCGAGTAGCTGGGACTACAGGCACACACCACCATGCCTGGCTAATTTTTTGTATTTTTAGTAGAGACGGGGTTTCACTGTGTTAGCCAGGATGGTCTCCATCTCCTGACGTCATGATCCACCCACCTCAGCCTCCCAAAGTTCTGGGATTGCAGGCGTAAGCCACTGCGCCTGGCCAAAATTCAACTTTTTAATCCATGTAGTATACATGTGGTTTTGTTATATGAAATAAGCATGCATATTTTTAAAAGTAATTGAGTATAATACATCGGCTCCCAGTTCTATTCAACACTTATCCATATGATTTCTTAAGCCACTATCACACTTAGTAATTACTATAACTTTTGGTAGTCATAGTAATTTCCCTCCCGTGAAAGAGTATTCTATATCTTCAATATTGTTTTAGTTTTCTTAGCAGTATCTTTCAAATATCATTTTTGTAATCTTGAAAAAGTCCATCTAATCAAATTGTTATCTTATTATTTTTGCTTTTGATATTATATTAAAAATTTTTGACCTAATATCACAAATAATTTATTGTATATTTTCTGATAGAAATTTAATAATATTCCTTCTTACACTTCGCATTATAATCCATTTTGAGCTTTTATGTATGGTGTGAATTAAAGATGAGATTCTTTTTTCCATACAGATATCTAATTTCTGCAACACACCATTTGTTGAAAAGTCTGTCTTATCTCTATTGAGTGTTGTTGAAAACTTTATCAACGATTAATTGATCTAATTGGTTTGAGTTTATGTTGGCCCTCTCTTTTCCATCTCATTGATCAATACGTTTGTTCTTACCAAAAAAACCCACATTGTCTTTAATCCTGTAGCCTCATAGAAAGTCTTTATAATAGTTTTTAGAATATGTAGTATAAATCATTTAACTTTGTTCTTTTTTGAAGTTGTTTAGATATTCTGTCTTTTGACTTTCTATATAACATTTTTTATTTGTGTTCTTTTTCATATTTATTGTGTATATTTGAGATATACAACATAATGTTTTTATATACGTAGTGAAATGGTTACTATAGTCAAGCACATTAACATGCCCATCATCTTGCATAGTTACCTTTTATGTATGTATGTGTTAAGAGCACCAAAAGTGTACTCTCAGCAAATTTCAAGTATACAGCACAATATTATAACTATAGTACTTATTTTGTATATTAGATCTCAAGACTTATCCATCCTACATATGTGCAAGTTTGCACACTTTGACCTACATCTCCCGACTCTTCCTTCTGCCCCCCATTTCTGGTAACCACCATTTTATTCTGTGTCTATATATTTGACTTTTTAAAGATTCTACATATAAATTACATCTTGCAGTATTTTTCTGTAGGTGGCTTGTTTCATATAGCATAATTTCCTCCAGGTTCATCCATATTTTTGCAAATGGCAGGATTTTTAAATATATAAACATATAATATTTAATTATATATTTATATACCACAACTTCCTTATTCATTCATCTGTAGATATACGCTTTGTTTCTACATCTTGGCAATTTTGAATAATGCTGAAATGAACATGAAAAAACAGATGCATCTACAAAATCCTGATTTGTCTTTCAGTGTATACTCTGCAAAGGAATTGCCAGGTCATATCTACATAACTTTTAAATTGAACCTTCCAATTTATTCTAAAAAAAACTTTTTTGGGTTTTGATTGGGGTTGCGTTGAATTCCTTTATCAACTGAGGTGGGTGAGTTAACCTCTTAATTACACTGAGTCTTCTAATCCAAGAATATGATATGTATCTCCATTTATTTAGTACTTTTTTTTCTTGGAATGTTTTGCAGTTTCTAGTTTATAAGTTTTCCATATTTTCATTTGATTTATTTCTAAATATTTGTTATGCTATTGTTAATGAAACATTTATTTATTTATTTATTTATTTATTTATTTATTTATTTATTTTTGAGACAGAGTCTCACTCTGTCACCCAGGCTGGAGTGCGGTGGCTCCATCTCGGCTCACTGCAAGCTCCGCCTCCCAGGTTCATGCCATTCTCCTGCCTCAGCCTCCTGAGTAGCTGGGACTACAGGTGCCCGCCACCAAGCCCGGCTAATTCTTTGTATTTTTAGTAGAGACAGGGTTCCACCATGTTAGCCAGGAGGGTCTCGAACTGCTGACTTCATGATCCGCCCACCTTGGTCTCCCAGAGTGGTAGGATTACAGGCTTGAGCCACTGCGCCTGGCCGAAATATTTAATTTTATGTTTTAATTGTTGGTTGTAGTTATATAGACATGGAATTGATTTTTATTTAGTGAACTTACATCCTGCAACTCTGCTATATTCATTTGTTAGTTCTAGTAGTCTTAGAGTTATCTAAATACACGATCGTGTCTTCTATAAATAGTTTTACTCCATTCTTCCAAACATGTATTATTTTATTCTTTCTTCTTCCTTTATTAACAACTCGGGAAATTTATCCAGGTGCAATGATAAATAAATATCCTAAGTGCCAATGTTCTAGATTTGTTCTCAATCTTACATAGAAAGAGCCTTTCACTATTTAATATGTTGTTGGTTGTAGGTTTTTCATAGATATCCATAATTAGACTGAGTTAGTTTCCTTCTTTTCCAAGAGTTTATTTTTACCATTTAAGGATGTGCAACTTTGCCAACTGCTTTTTCAGCATCTGTTGAAATGATCATATTCTTTTTTCCTTTAATCTCTTAATATGGTACAATACATTGACTGATTTTAGAATGTTAAACCAATCTTGTGAATACAGAAATATCACTCCTATATATCTATTTCCTCTTCCTCCTTTTTGTGCTATTATAATTATACGAAATACATCTATATATACTTCAACCCCCAACAATGTATTGCTATAATGATTGTTTAATTTTATGTCTGTCAAAGAAGCTTAGAAAAGAAAAGAGAGCAAGTCTATGCTTACAAAGTTTGTTACATTAACCTGCTTACTCACCATTTCTGGTTATCTTTATTTGTTCCTTTGTGTTTGAGTTACCATACCATACCATATGGCATAATTGACTTATTCCAATAGAACTTTGCCCTCACTCAACTTTTTGCTGTTATTTTCAAATATCTTTCTTTTCTGTATATTCTCCAAAATACAATACATATTGCTTTACACAATAGTTTTTTGTTTGTTTGTTTGTGTTTTGAGACTGTCTTGCCCTGTCACCCAGGCTGGACTATTGGACTATAGTGGCATGATCTTGGCTCACTGCAACCTCTGCCTCCTGGGTTCAAGCAACTCTCCTGCCTCAGCCTCCTGAGTAGCTGGGATTACAGGTGTCCACCACCACACCCGGCTAATTTTTGTATTTTTAGTAGGGACAGGGTTTCACCATGTTGGCCAGGCTGGTCTTGAACTCCTAACCTCAAGTGATCCAACCACCTCAGCCTCCCAAAGTGCTGGGATTACAGGCATGAGCCACCACGCCCGGTCGTATACAATAGTTTTGTTTTGTTTTGTTTTGTTTTTTTGAGACAGGGTCTTGCTCTGTCACCCAGGCCAGAGTACAATGCCATGATCTTGGCTCACTGCAACCTGCACCTCCCAGGTTCAAGCAATTCTCCTGCCTCAGCCTCCTGAGTATCTGGGATTACAGGTGCCTGCCACTGCGCCCAGCTAATTTATGTATTTTTAGTAGAGACGGCATTTCACTATCTTGGCCAGGCTGGTCTTGAACTCCTGACCTCATGATCCACCCGCCTCAGCCTCCCAAAGTGCTGGGAATACAGGCGTGAGCCACCACGCCTGGCTATACAATAGTTTTTAAGTCAGTTTAGAGTAGGAGAGTGTTGACAAAGAGTCAAACTCTAAAATACTTGAAGAGATTTATTCTGAGCCAAATATGAGTGACCATGGCCTGTGACAGCCTTCAGGAGGTCTGAGAACATGTGTCCAAGGTGGTGGGTGTGCAACTTGGTTTTATACATTTTAGGGAGGCAAGAGACATCAATCAAATACACTTGATAAATACATTGGTTTGATTCAGAAATGCAAGACATTTTGAAGTGGGAGGCTTCCAGGCTATAGGTAAATTTAAACATTATCTGGTTGACAGTTGGTTGAGTTTGTCTAAAGGTCCGGTATTAACAGAAAGGAAATGTTCAGGTTAAGATAAGATTGTGGAGACCAAGGTTTTTTGAAGTCTCTTAGTAGCTGCCCTTAGAGACAACAGATAACAAGTGTATCCTATTCAGACCTTTAAAAAGTGCTAGACTCTCAGTTAATCTCTTCAGGATTGGGAGGGCCAGGAAGAAAAAGATCTAGCTATGTTAATAGAGATCCTTTACAGATGGAAATTTTCACCCACAAAGTTAGGACAGCTTTGCAGGGCCATTTCAAAATATGGGGGAGAAAAAAAATGTTTTGAGGTAAAATCTTTTGATTTTCTTAATCACATAATGTTATGCCAGAGTCAGATTGGAAAGAAAGTCACAGTATATAGGGTTAAATGAAATCCATCTGATGAGAATTTATCATTTACAGAGCATGACTCCCCAGACACCTTAGATAGAAATTTGGGCAAGATGAAACAAAATCAGAGCTTAGTCCTCAGGAGAGAAGAAATACGTATTTATATTGTCTTTTAATGTTACAAAATTGCCTTTATCATGGCTCTTTGTTTTTTCATGTGGATTTGAATTAGCACATGGTATCACTTTCTTTTCATTTTCAAAAACTGCCTTTATTAAGTATCTTGTCAGCTTGGTTCACTAGCAACAAATTCAGTTTGTTTTAATTGGAAATGCCTTAATTTTGCCTTCATTTTTACCCCTGGGTTTATGATTCTTGGTTAACAGTTTTGTTGTTGCTGTTGTTTTTTCTATCAGTGCTGTAATAGGTAATCTTATTTCTTTCTGGCCTCCTTTGCTTCTGATGAGAAGTCAGATCTTATTCTTAGAGTTTCTTTTATGCATGACAAGTCATTTTTCTCTTGCTGTTTTCATGATTTTCTTTTTGTTGTTGTATTTCAGCATTTTTGCTATGATGACTTGGTATGCATCTCTTTGCATTTATATTACTTAGAGTTTGTTGAATTTTTAGATGTTCAAAATTATGCTTTTAATCAAATTTAGAAAATGTTCAACTATTTTCTTTGAATTTTTTCTGTTCTGTTCTCCGTATCCTCTTCTTGATTTCCTGTTAAACATGTGTTGGTATGGTAAATGGTGTCTTGTGCTTGTCTGAAGCCCTGTTGAATTTTCTTCATTTTTTTTTCTTGTTTTTCTTATTAAAAAACTTTCTCTTTCTTCAAGTTTGTGATTTTTTTTGTCTGCCAGTTGAAATCTGCTGTTAACCTTTTCTGGCGAAATTTATATTTCAGTCTCTGTCAGTTTCAATTCCAGAATGTTATTTGGCTCTTTTTAATAATTTCTCTTTCATTATTGATATTCTCTATTGCCATGAAAGCTTCCTTTACATCATTAATTATGGTTTTCTGTTTTTCCTTTGGACATATTTGTAATGGTTGCCTTGAAGTATTATCTTTTAAATCTGACATCTGGGCTCTCTCATAGTTTCTGTTCCCTCATTTTATTCTTGTGTATATGTCAAACTTTCTGTTTCTTTGCATGTCATGAATTTTTTTTTCTTGAAAACTCAAAAATTGAGGTAATAGATTCATTAACTCTGGAAATTTACTCCCTGTATCTTGTTTTTGTCCTTGTTTAATTGTTTAGTGACTTGCTTGAACTATTGTAAGTATTCTTCTTCCTTAATGTGACTCTTCTGATGTTTCTTCTCAGAGGATGCAGACTTTTGAGTACACAAAGGTACCATGGGATAACAGTAGCTTTAGCAGAGATGTATTTGTCAATTTCCCTGATTTCTCAGTTAAGCTGTCTGTCTCATTTGGTGTCACAGCAAATTGTTAGATTTTATTAATTGCCAGCTGTTTGTTCTGTAGTTTTTGGTATTTTCTTTCTAAATTTTTCATTTTTCATTTTCATGGGTACGTAGTAGACGTATGTATTTATGGAGTATATGAGATATTTTGATACAGGCATGAAATGTATAATAATCACATCATGAAAAATGAGTTATCTATCTCCTGAAGCATTTATCCTTTTTATTACAAAGAATTCTAATATACTGTTTTAGTTAATTAAAATGTATAATGGAATTATTTTGACTATAGTTATATTGTGCTATCAATATTAGGTATAATTTCTTCTTCTTATTTTTGTACCCATCAACCATCCCCACCAACTAAAAGAACCCTAAAAAACTTAGCAGCCTCTGGTAATGAACCTTCTATTCACTATCTTCATGCATTCAATTGTTTTGGTTTTTACATCGGACAATAAGTGAAAAGATGTGATGTTTGTTTTTCCATGCCTGGTTGATTTCACTTAACATAATGACCTCAAGTTTTGTCCATGTTGTTGCAAATGACAGAATCTCATTGTTTTAAGGCTTTTCTATGTACTTCATTATGTATCAGTATAACATTTTCTTTATCCATTCATCTGTTGATGGACATGGTTTTAGTGTGTTTTCATGCTGCTGAAAGAGGTTTTCATGTTGTTTTAGTCTGTTTTCATGCTGCTGAAAGAAAGAGATTTAACTGACTTACAGTTCCACATGGCTGGGAAAGCCTCACAATCATGGTGGAAGGCAAAGAGGAGCAAGTCTTGTCTTACATGGATGGCAGCAGTCAAAGAGGGAGAGCTTGTGCAGGGGAACTCCTCTTTTTAAAACCATGGATCTCATGAGACTTATTCACTACCATGAGAATAGCACGGGAAAGACTTGCCCTCATTTCAGTTATCTCCCACCAGATCCCTCCCACAACATGTGGGAATTCAAGATGAGATTTGGGTGGGGAGTGGGGACACAGCCAGACACAGCCAAACCATACCATTCTGCCCCTGGTGCCTCCCATATCTAATGCCCTCGCATCTTAAATCCAATCATGGCTTCCCAACAGTCCCCCGGAGTTTTAACTCATTTCAGCATTAACTCAAAAGTCCACAGTCGAAAGTCTTATCTGAGACAAGGCAAGTCCCTTCCACCTATGAGCCTGTAAAATCAAAAGCAGGTTAGTTACTTCCTAGATATAGTGGGGATTTAGGCATTGGGTAAATAATGCCATTCCAAATGGGAGAAATTGGTCAAAACTTTTATAAATAAAGTTTCGGTGCCACAAAAGAAATAGCACATGAATATAAAATTTTCTTTTTAATTCTCAGCAAGGCAATGTACTTCTATAGAAGGGTGCACCCTTACAGATGGAGCAATGGTGAGCACACACTTGGACAAAGGAGGGGAAGGGGTTCTTATCCCTGATGCATGTGGCCCCTGCTGCTCTGTTGTTCCCTTATTGGCTTGGGTTAGACAGCACAGGCTAAACTAATTCCAATTGGCTAATTTAAAGAGAGTGACTGAGTGAGTGGTTTGGGGAGTCAGGGTGGAGCAGGTAAGGGTGAAGCAGGTAATTGAAGTGAGTCAGGATGGAACAGGTGATCAAAAAAGGTTGCTTTACGAGGAAGTTAAGTTTAAAAGTAGAAGGCAAAGAATTGAACATTCTGACATATTGCTGCTTTGAAGAGAAATGTAGAATTCATATCTAATAAGTCCCTCCTCTTGCATTTTCCTTACAGCTTTCTCTTCAAACTTCTTTAACATGTCTTGGCTTAGTTGTTCTGCTTGATTTTCCAAAAGAAGCTTCTCTGGATAAGGTGGAGGATAATTAAGGGAGGTTTTAGTAAGTGCTGTTTCTATGAGCCTCTGCACCAACCCACGGATGCATGGTATGACACAGCACCCAACAAGAATAAGTACACCCATTACGGCTGCGAGGGAAGTAAGAATTGAGGCTGTTATTCCTTTCCGTTTACTAAGCCACTTTTCTAGTCATCCTGTAAAGGGGTCATTTACCCCTGACTTGCTGGCTAACTCATTGGATAGAGCAGTCAGACCTTGCAATGCCTTTGTTATACTTCCATCAGGGGTGATGTTGTTTGGGATGAAGGTACAACATTGAGTTTTAATCATGATGCAAACTCCTCCTCTTTCTGCTAATATCATGTCAAAGGCTATCCTATTTTCCCAAGCCATCTGGCCAGTAGCCCCTAATGGCTCAGCTATTCCTTTAACAGCATCTCTAGTGTAGTTAATAAATCACTGTTGGTTGTAGTAGATGTAGTTTATCCAATCTATATTTTTATTAGTTGTCACCCACCAAGATATTGACTCATATCCTGCAGCTATTTGATTTCGGGCTTTAAGTTGATCTGGTATTCCCCTTGGGACTCCAATTGCGTTATATAGAGGTGAGAGTCAAAAGACCCATAAGGGACTTCCCTCGCTTTATAATGTCTTATTTTTCCTTCCTCTGGTTGATGAAATGCCAGGATGAAAGGGATAGCTAATTGGACTAAAGAACAAGTGCCACTCCAGTTATTCAGCAGAGTGTCCAGTAAAGGTCCACCACAATACTACCACACATCCACTCGGGGATGAACAAGGGCTGACTGATTGATAAGCTCTTGAAAATTCTTAAGCTCACTGCATCCCTTCAGGTCTTCAAGTAACACTAAGCTTCCTCCCTGTCATGAGAGACATGAAGTGAACTTAATGTTGGGAGACTGAAGCTGGATGGCCCTCTGGGGCTAACCCACAGGGTGCCAGATTTCGGGATATAGCAGAGCGAGAGCATGGCACCACTTGTTACTCCAGGCTGTGGAATCCTGGAAAAGAGCTACTATGCAGCCCATGCCTGGTCAACTGGAAGACCACCCTAGTGGAAAGGGGACAATCTGGGTGTCTGGCCTGCTGTGTGCACAAGCATAACAATTGCTTTTGTTTAACGTGTGGATGGAATATTTGATCCATTCCAACCAGGCATTTGCATCTTGGTATCCTGTCTTAATTGCCAAAGTTTGTTTTAAGTCTTTTTTTTTTTTTTTTTAATTTTTTTTTTTTTATTATACTCTAAGTTTTAGGGTACATGTGCACATTGTGCAGGTTAGTTACATATGTATACATGTGCCATGCTGGTGCGCTGCACCCACTAACGTGTCATCTAGCATTAGGTATATCTCCCAATGCTATCCCTCCCCCCTCCCCCGACCCCACCACAGTCCCCAGAGTGTGATATTCCCCTTCCTGTGTCCATGTGATCTCATTGTTCAATTCCCACCTATGAGTGAGAATATGCGGTGTTTGGTTTTTTGTTCTTGCGATAGTTTACTGAGAATGATGGTTTCCAATTTCATCCATGTCCCTACAAAGGACATGAACTCATCATTTTTTATGGCTGCATAGTATTCCATGGTGTATATGTGCCACATTTTCTTAATCCAGTCTATCATTGTTGGACATTTGGGTTGGTTCCAAGTCTTTGCTATTGTGAATAGTGCCGCAATAAACATACGTGTGCATGTGTCTTTATAGCAGCATGATTTATAGTCCTTTGGGTATATACCCAGTAATGGGATGGCTGGGTCAAATGGTATTTCTAGTTCTAGATCCCTGAGGAATCGCCACACTGACTTCCACAATGGTTGAACTAGTTTACAGTCCCACCAACAGTGTAAAAGTGTTCCTATTTCTCCACATCCTCTCCAGCACCTGTTGTTTCCTGACTTTTTAATGATTGCCATTCTAACTGGTGTGAGATGATATCTCATAGTGGTTTTGATTTGCATTTCTCTGATGGCCAGTGATGATGAGCATTTCTTCATGTGTTTTTTGGCTGCATAAATGTCTTCTTTTGAGAAGTGTCTGTTCATGTCCTTTGCCCACTTTTTGATGGGGTTGTTTGTTTTTTTCTTGTAAATTTGTTTGAGTTCATTGTAGATTCTGGATATTAGCCCTTTGTCAGATGAGTAGGTTGCGAAAATTTTCTCCCATGTTGTAGGTTGCCTGTTCACTCTGATGGTAGTTTCTTTTGCTGTGCAGAAGCTCTTGAGTTTAATTAGATCCCATTTGTCAATTTTGGCTTTTGTTGCCATTGCTTTTGGTGTTTTGGACATGAAGTCCTTGCCCACGTCTATGTCCTGAATGGTATTGCCTAGGTTTTCTTCTAGGGTTTTTATGGTTTTAGGTCTAACGTTTAAATCTTTAATCCATCTTGAATTGATTTTTGTATAAGGTGTAAGGAAGGGATCCAGTTTCAGCTTTCTACATATGGCTAGCCAGTTTTCCCAGCACCATTTATTAAATAGGGAATCCTTTCCCCATTGCTTGTTTTTCTACGATAGCTATCTTGTTCTTGTGGTTAGATGGAGGAGGAGCAATTATCCCGTTGTGAGAGGTTTTGGAAGAAGGCTTAGAGGAAGGTGGAGGTGGCGGGGGATCAAAGAAACGCATTTCAAAGAATCTGATAGGGTCTGTCCCTGAAACCTCAGCCCCCATACCATAAAACCGGCTTAAAGAAGGGAAGAAAAGGAGAAGAACTTTGAGGATTCGAGATAATAACCTGTATAGGATTGCACTGGTTTAGCTGACAGTTTGGGGGCTGGGGGGGTGCTGTCCCTCTAGTAAAATGAATGTATGGTTTTAGGAAATTACAAAAACCAATTGGGGCATTCCATCCTTGCTCTTTAGTGGTCCACAGAATGTTGGACCAACTATTGCATAAAAGCTCTGCACTGGAGGGACAAGACTCCTGGTTGACCCTGGAGTCTTAATGAAAATCTCCCCAGATTAAATGGTCCCAATTCACTAATGCCCAATCTGAGGAGAGTCAGGAGGGACAGAGGTACTTTTCTGAAGTAGAGAGCTGTGTTTGACTTGGCAAGTCCCCACAGGATATAACAAGGCAAGCATCAAATCCTGTAGTTTGAGATGAAGTTGACTTCATTATGTTAATAACTAGATGGTCAGCAATAGAGTGAGGAAAGAAGAAAGAGTAATAGAATAGATGAAAGAGAGTTAAATTTTTCTTAGCTTTGGTTTGGTAGGGTTTTCCCCTGGGACTATGGCCTTCAACTCTGGAGGGATTGGCGCTTTCTTGACTCGGGTGTGTTGAGTCCATTCCCTTTCCTCTGTATGAACAGCAGTCTTGGTGGTTAGCAGCACAAAGTAGGGTCCTTCCCAGGCTGCTCGAGTTTTCCTTCTTTTCACCCTTCAATGAGCACGTGATCCTCAGGCTGGTGCTGGTTTACCGGAAATTCTAGGGGTGGTACCTGTGCTAAAAGACGTTTAGTTTTGCGAGAAAGGAAAGTGGAAGATAAACCAAGTATATCATTTCTAAGAAATTAATCTTTTGTTTTAAATGTGGGGACATCAGCAGTCGACTTTATAGTCCTTGGTGCCTTCTTACTGAGAAATTTCCTTTAGCCTCTATTTTTATTAGTTTTTAGACCAAAGAAAGCCAAATACCATTTCATATTTGACAATGCTTCCTGTATGATTTTTTATACCAGATAAGCTAAATGTCACCTTTATATTAGTGTGTTATTAATGCTAAACTCAATTTTAATAAAACCTTGTAGACATATTTATCCAATTTTAACGTGTGACAATAAGATAAGATTTTTATAGACGCTTTTTTTTTTTTGAGACGGAGTCTCCCTCTGTCGCCCAGGCTGGAGTGCAGTGGCGCGATCTCAGCTCACTGCAAGGTCTGCCTCCCGGGTTCGCGCCATTCTCCTGCCTCAGCCTCGCAAGTAGCTGGGACTACAGGTGCCCGCCACCACGCCCGGCTAATTTTTTGTATTTTTAGTAGAGACGGGGTTTCACTGTGTTAGCCAGGATGGTCTTGATCTCCTGACCTCATGATCCACCTGCCTCGGCCTCCTAAAGTACTGGGATTACAGGCGTGAGCCACCGCGCCTGGCCTTATAGACATTTTTTAACCTTTTATAATTTTTGTTAAAGAGCAGGATGGTGATTTAAGAAAACCCTGTTGTGCTTTTATTTTGATTTCCAGTTCACAGAAAGACTGGATGATACCCCTTTAACAATATGTTTACACACAGAATTTCTTTTACAATTAACATTTTAAAACTTGCTTAAACCTTTAAATCAAATTTTTTAACCTTTTAATGTAGGTAAAAAATCCACATTCTTATGCCGCTTTATAATCCTTTTACCAAAAGTATATTTTACTTTCCTTGCACACCTTGCACATAAACTGTTTCTTCAATAGTTTTACATTCAGGAGGCCTAATTACTTTCAAATTGTACAATATTTCTTTCATAAATTCCCTTTTATAACTTTTTTTCCACGACTTTCACAGTCATCAACATACCTCAACCTTCTGACTTGTTGCAAACATCCCTTTCTTTAAACAACCAGTTAATTTATTTTAGGACAAGAATTTACCATATAACATTCTTTCTATATAAATTCTTCCCCTCCCCCCACTTTTTTTTTTCTATTCTTCTCCAGATCAAACTTCCTTCATGTCTGTGGGCTAGACTGCCTAAGGCTGCAAGATTAGAAGTTAGGATAATACATGTTACACTGTTAACTTTTAGCAAACTTTACTTTTGTTGAAAACCTTGTAAGTTTGGGATTTCATTTATCCTTTGCTATTAATAAGACCTTGTTTAGTCCAAATTAACTTAGAATTGGTATAGATGGTTCCTTCCTGGTTGTGTAAATACTTAAAGCTTGGCTGAGTGCAAACAGCTCGCCCGTTTGAGCAGACCAATTATTAGGCAATTTTCCTAACACTGCTTCTACAAGGGTTTCCCTGTCAATTACTGAATACCCATTGTGCCTTTTTCCCTCAATCACCCAGGAGGAACAATCTATTGTCCTGTCCTAAAGGGAGTTCCTCCTAGGTATGGTCTGGACCTTTCTATAGTAATTAATTAAGATTTAGATCCCCTGTTAGGAAACCTGCTGGGTTAAGGGAATTTTTAGTGGTTAATGTTGAATCATCTTTTTTTTTAACAGAGTCTCCTCATACTTCCTTCTTTTGGCAAAGCAGTTATCACTACAGATTGAATGTATCTGGGCCATCCACAGGTTACTGGGTTAAGGATTTTTGATTAGGAAGGCTATGGGTTGTCAGTGGCCTCAGTGCTCTTGGGCTATGCCCTTGTTTACGCTGACAACAAGGTGGTATTGGAGTGTTATAGGGTCACGGAGAAGACCTTCAATTATCAATTATAGGTTTTAAATTTACCCTGGCTTTTAAAGGAATGGGGTACACTGTTTTCTCTTTATTACTTCTCTTTCTTTCTCTCTTTGACTTTCTGTCTCTTTCTGACTCCTTCTCTCTCTCTCTCTCTCTCTCTCTCTCTCTCTCTCTCTCTGTGCTTTCCCTCTCCCTCCCTCCTCTCTACTGGTCTTTCCTTGCCTCTGCCAGCCACGTATGCTGCTGTTCTCCCCTCTCCTTCACCTTTCCCTAGAGGAGGGACCAGCAGGAGTGGAACTACTCTTCCTTCCCCCAAGAAGAAAGAAAAGTGGGGGTTTATGTGAGGTCCAACCCTTGAAATTAGCGGAAGTCTCAACCCCTCAAACCAGGGGTGTCCTGCCTTGTCTGCCCTGGAAGTCTCAACCCCTCAAACCAGGGGTGTCTTGCCTTGCCTGCTCTGGAAGGCTCAACCCCTCAAACCAGGGGTGTCTTGCCTTGCCTGTCCTGGAAGCTTGACCTGTTTCCCCCCTTTTCCCCTCTGAAGGTCCTTTGCACACTTCCCACTCACAGAGAGGACCCATTCACTCCATCCAGCAGCAGGACTTGTCACCATCCACATGAACAACACTGCAAGCAGAGTTGTTTGTGATCATTCACGCACACACACATTCAGCCCTCCAGAATCTGACCACCAAGGAACTACTTCACTGGCTCCAGTGGCTTCTCCTTCCTTGGTCTCTGCACAGTCATTGCCGCAGAATGTGAGTATCCTTTACCCTAGGTCGCTGGCCAGTTTCTTTTCACGTTGCTGAGAGCTCGGGTTATTTCCTGCACTGGGTGAGTCCTGATTTCTCACCCCTGAGGCTGCCATAAGGAGGCGGGGCATGCCTTCTCACGAGAGAGAACCAGAGACCGCCCCCAGAGGGGAATGTAATCATGGATGAGCCCCTAAATTGTTATAAAGTTTCGGTGCTACAAAAGAAACAGCACACCAATATGAAATTTCCTTTTTAATTCTCAGCAAGGCAATGTAATTCTATAGAAGCGTGCGCCCTTACAGATGGAGCGATGGTGAGCACACACTTAGACAAAGGAGGGGGAGGAGTTCTTATCCCTGACGCATGTGGCCCCTGCTGCTGTGTCATTCCCCTATTAGCTAGGGTTAGACCACACAGGCTACACCAATTCTGATTGGCTAATTTAAAGAGAGGGACAGGGTGAGTGGTTTGGCGGGAGTCAGGGTGGAGCAGGTGATCGAAAAATGTTTATTTATGAGGAAGTTAAGTTTAAAAGTAGAAGGCAAAGAATTGAACATACTGACATATTGATTCTTTGAAGAGAAATTTAGAACTCATATCTAATAAAATAAAGGAGTTACAGGGCCCATGCAAGTCTCAAATCCAGTGGACCAGTCAAATCTTAAAGCTCCAAAATGATCTCCTTCAACTCCATGTCTAATATCTAGGTCACATTGATGAAAGAGGTGTTCCCATGGTCTGGGGCAGCTCTGCTCCTGTGGCTTTGCAAGCTACAGCCTTCTTTCCAGCTGCTTTCACAGGCTGGTATTAACCATCTGCAGCCTTTCCAGGTGCACAGTGCAAGCTGTCAGTGGCTGTACCATTATGGACCTGGAGTATGGTGGCCCTCTTCTCACAGCTCCATTAGGCAGTTCCCCAGTCCAGACTCTGTGTGGGTGCTCCAACCCCACATTTCCCTTCTGCACTGCCCAGCAGAGTTCCTCTATGAGAGCCCTGCCCCTTCAGCAAACTTCTGCCTAGATATTCAGGCATTTCCATACATCTTCTGAAATCTAGGCAGAGGTTCCCAAACCTCAATTCTTGACTTTTGTGCACTCGCAGGCTTAACACCACATGAAAGCTGCCAAGACGTGAGGCTTGCAGCCTCTCAAGCCACAGCCTGAGCTCTATATTGGCCCCTTTTAGTCATGGTTGGAGCAGCTGAGACTTAGGGCACCAAGTCCCTAGGCTGCACATAGCATGGGGACTCTTGACCTGGCCCACAAAAACCACTTTTTATTCCTAGACCTCTAGGCCTGTGATGGCGGAGGGGGCAAAGAACTGCCCTGAAGATCTCTGAAATGTCCTAGAGACATTTTCCCCATTGTCTTGGGGATTAACATTCAGCCCCTTGTTACTTATGCAAATTTCTGCATCCGGCTTGGCTTGAATTTCTCCTCAGAAAAATGGGATTTTCTTTTCTATCACATTGTCAGGCTGCAAATTTTCTGTACTTTTATGCTCTGCTTCCCTTATAAAACTGAATGCTTTTTACAGCACCCGTAACAGCACCCAGCAGCACCAAAGTCACCTCGTGAATGCTTTGCTGCTTAGAAATGTCTTCTGAAAGATACCCTAAATAATCTTTTTCAAGTTTAAGGTTCCACAGATCTCTAGGGCAGGGACAAAATGCCATCAGTCTCTTTGCTAAAACATAACACAAGTCACCTTTGCTCCAGTTCTCAACAAGTTCCTCATCTCTGAGACCGCCTCAGCCTGGACTATCAGTATTTTTGTCAAAGCCATTCAACAAGTCTCTAGGAAGTTCCAAACTTTCCCACATTTTCCTTTCTTCTGAGCCCTCCGAACTGTTCCAACCTCTCCCTGTTACCCAGTTCCAAAGTCACTTCCACATTTTTGGGTATGTTTTCAGCAATGCTCTGCTCTACTGGTGCCAATTTACTGTATTAGTCTGTTTTCACACTCCTGAAAAAGACATACCTGAGACTGGAAAGTTTACAGAAGAAAGAGGTTTAATTGACCTACAGTTCCACGTGGCTGGGGAAGCCTCATAGTCATGGTGGAAGGCATGGAGGAGCAAGTCACATCTTACATGAATGGCGGCAGGCAAAGAGAGAGAGCTTGGTAGGGAACTCCTTTTTTTAAAGCCATCAGATCTCATGAGACTTATTCACTATCATTAGAAGAGCATGGGAAAGACTTGGCCCCACGATTCAATTACCTCCCACTGGGTTCCGCCCACAACACATGGGAATTCAAGATGAAATTTGTGTGGGGACACGGCCAAACTATATCAGACATTTAGGTTGCTTCCAAATCTTGACTATTTTGAACAGTGCCACAACAAACATAGGAGTTCAGATAGATCTTTGATATATTATATTCCCTTCTTTGGGGCATATACCCAGGGGTAGGATTGACAGATCATAAGGTAGCTCTATTTTTAGTTTTTTAAGGACCCTCCAGACAGTTCTTCATAATGGTTGTATTAATTTACATTCTTATCAACAGTATATGAGGGTTCATTTTCTTCATATCCTCATCAGCATTTTTATTGACTGCCTTTTGGATATAAGCCGTTTTAACTGAGGTGAGAGGATATCTCACTATGGCTCAGATTTGCATTTCTCTGAAGATCAGTGATTTTGAGTGCCTTTTCATATACCTGTTTGTCATTTGTATGTCTACTTTTGATAATTTTAAATCTTTTGTCCATTTAGATCTTTTCCTATAGAATTGTTTGAGCTCCTTATATATTCTGGTTATTAATCCCTTGTCAAATTGGTGGTTTATAAATATTTTCCCTGATTCAGAGGGTTGCATCGTCACTTTGTTGAATGTTTTCTTCACTGTGCAGAAGCTTTCTAACTTTATGTAATCTCACTTGTCCAGTTTTTTCTTTGGTTTTCTATGCTTGGGAGTTATGACTTAAGAAATTTTTGCCTAGATCAATGTCTTAGAGAGTTTCCCCAATGTTTTCTTCTAGTAGACTCATAGTTTGAGATCTTAAATTTAAGTCTGTAATAAATTTTGATTTGATTTTTGTATATGGTAAGAGATTGGTTCTAGCCTCATTTTTCTGCATATAGATCCAGTTTTCCCAGCACTATTTATTGAAGACAATGTTCTTTCTTCAAGGTATGTTCTTGGCAACTTTGTTAAAAATGAGTTCACTGAGGGTGGGTGGATTTGTTTCTGGGTTGTTCATTTGCCATTGGTCTATTTGTCTATTTTTATGCCACTGCCATGCAGTTTTGATTACTATAGCTCTGTAGTATAATTTGAAGTGAGGTAATATGATTTTTCCAGTTTTGTTCTTTTTGCTTAAGACAGCTTTGACCTTTCTGGGGCTTTTGTGATTCCACATAAATTTTAGAATTGGTTTTTCAATTGTTGTGCAGAATTTCACTGGTATTTTGATATAGATTGCATTGAATCTGTAGATTGCTTTCAGTAGTATCAACATTTTAACACTATTAATTATTCTAATCCATGAACATGGAATATTTGTCTTTTTTTATGTCTTCTTCAATTTCTTTTATCAGTGATTTATAGTTTTCATTATGAAGATCTCTCACTTTTTGGGTTAATTCCTAGGCATATCATATTTCATGTGGCTATTGTAAAAGTGATTACTTTCTTATTTCTTTTTCAGATTCTTCACTGTTGGCATATAGAAATGCTACTGATTTTTGTATGTTGATCTTGTATCTGGCAACTTTACTGAATTTATTTAACAGTTGTAGTAGTTTTTCTTTTAGAGTTTTTAGGTTTTTCCAAATACAAAATCATATCACTTTCTAACAAGGATAATTTGACTTCTTCCCTTTCAATTTAAATGCCCATTATATCTTTCTCTTGTCTCATTGCTCTAGTCACCACTTCCAGTACTATGTGGAATAACAGTCATGAAAGTTGGCATGTTTGTCATGTTCCAGGTCTTAGAGGAAAGCCTTTCAATTTTCCCATTCAGTGTACTACTAATAGGGAGCCTGTCATATATGGCTTTTATTATTTTGATGTATATTCCTTCTATGTCCACTTTTTTGTGTGTGAAGGGATGTTGAATTTTATTAAATGCTTTTTCAACATTAATTGGAATGGTCATATGGTTTTTGTCCTTCATTCTCTTGATATAATCTATGACATTGATTTGCATCTTTGGAACCATCCTTACATCCCTGGGACAAATCTCAATTGGTCGTGATGAATGATCTTTGTAATGTATTTTTTAATTTGGTTTGCTAGTATTTTGTTGAGGATCTTTGCATAAATATTTATTAAAGATACTGGCCTGTAGTGTTCTTTTTTTTTTAATGTGTCTTTGGCTTTTTTATCAGGATAATTCTGACTTCATAGAATAAGTTCAGAGATATTTTTTCTTCTATCATTTTGACTAGATTAAGTAGGATTGATATCAGTTCTTCTTTAAAGCTTTGGTAGAATTCAGCAGTTAAGCCATTGGGTCCCAGGCTTTCATTTACTGGGAGACTTTTTATGATGGCTTCAATTTCATTACTTGCTATTTGTCTATTCAGGTTTTGGATTTCTTCCTGTTTTAGTCTTGGTAGGTTTTATGGGTCTAGGAATTTATCCATTTCCTCTAGATTTTCCAATTTATTAACACATAGTTGCTCATGGTAGCCACTAATTATCTTTCTGCAGTGTCAGTTGCAATGGCTCTTTTTTTATGTCTGATTGTATTTACTTGGACCTTCTCTCTTGTTTTCTTAGTCTGGTTAAAAGTTTGTTAACGTTGTTTAACTTTTCAAAAAACCAACTTTTCATTTATCTTTCATATTGTATTTTTCCATTTCCATTTTATTTATTTATGCTTTGATATTATTTCCTTTTTTTAACTGATTTTGGGTTTTGTTTGTTCTTACTTTTCTAATTCTTTAAGGTGCATTGTCAGTTTTTTTCTTTAAAGTTTTTGTTCCTTTTTCACATAGGCTCTTATATCTATAAAATTCCCTTTTACTACTGTTTTCATTGAATACCATAGGATTTGCTATGTCGTGTCTCTATATACATTTTTAAATTTTTTTTCTTAAGCTCTTCATTGACTCACTGGTCATTCAGGTGTATATTATTTAATTTCTATGTATTTGTATAGCTTCAAAAACTTCTCTTTTCATTTTTAGTTTTATTCTATTGTGTTCAGAGAAGATGACTGATATTGTTTTAATTATCTGGAATGCTTTCAGATTTGTTTTATGACCTAACATATGATCTGTCCTTGAGAATGATCATTGTGTTGAGGAAATGAATGTGTATTCTACAGTCATTGGGTGAAATGTTCTGTAAATATCTACTAGGCCAATTTGTTCTATAGTGCAGATAAAGTCTGATGTTTCTTTGTTGAGATTCTGTTTGGGAGATCTGTCCATTTCTGAAAGTTTGGTTTGAAGTCTCCAGCTATTTTTGTATTGTGGTCTATCTCTCTCTTTATCTCTAATAATATTTGGCTTATATAGCTATGTGCTCTAGGGCCAGGTAAATATACATTCAAAGAGAATTGGATCCCAAGTCCAATATTACTGTATTTTTTGCAGACTCATAGAGACACAGCCTTGGTGGCCTTTTATATGATCTGCAATAATTCTTTGGATAACCAGCCAGAGACTCTTGTTATCATCCCTTTCTTTCTCCCGAACAGAGTCAGTCTCTCTCTCTCTCTCTCTCTCTCTCTCTCTCTCTCTCTCTCTCTCTGCTGAGCCACCTGGAACTGAGGATGCAGTGACACAAGTACTCCTGTGTTTCCCTCTACTGGGACTTCACTGGGTTAGAACTGAATCCAGCACAGCACTGGATCTTGCCCAAGGTCCATTGACTTATGTTTACTCAAGGCCCTATGGCTCTCAAATCAGCAGGTGGCAAAGCCAGCCATGTTGGTGTCCTTCCCTTTAGGACAGTGAGTTCTCCCAGGCCCTGGGCAGGTCCAGAGATGCTGTCTGGGAACCAGGGTTTAGAGTCAAAAACTTAGAAATTTGCCTGATGTTCTACTCTGCTACAGCTACACTGGCAAGCAAAGCACAGTATAAAGTCCTTCCTACTCTTCTCTCCCCTTTTCACAAGCAGAGGAACCTGTCCCTGTGGGAACCACCACCACCAGCCCATGGGGGAATTCTGCTGGGCCATCTCTCATGTTCAGTTAAAACCTAAGGGCTCGTCAGTGAGTTTGTGTGAATTCTCCCAGGTCTGAGACTCACCCTTCAGAGAAGTGGGCTCTCTTCTGGCCCAGGGCACGTCCAGGAATGCTGTCCAAGAGCTTAGGCCTCAACCTGGGGACCCCAAGGGCCTGCTTGTTGCTCTACACCACTGTAGCCAAGCTGGAACCTAAGGTGAAAGACAAAGTCCCCTTTACTTTTCCCTCTGCTTTTCTAAAACAGAAGGAGTCTTTCCCTGTAGCCACCATAGCTGGGAATATACTGAGTCACACTAAGAGTCAGCACATCTCAGAGCTCATTGTCCATGGCATACTCCTGAGGTATCACTGCTGCTTATGTAGGGCCCAAGGGCTCTTTAGTCAGCAGGTGATGAATCCTGCCAGTACTGGGTCATTCCTTTTTGGCCCAAAATGTGTTTAGAAATGTCATCTGGGAGCTAGGTCCTAAAATGGGGGCCTCATGACTCTGCCTGGTGCCCTATCTTACTGTGCCTGAGCTGGTATCCAAGATGCAAGACATAGTTCTCTTTACCCTTTTCCCTCCTCCCATTAAGCAGAAAGAAGGAGACACTTTCACTGCTGTGAGTTGCACTGCCTGGAGTTGAGGGAGGATTGGTGTAAGCACTGCTTTAGCTGCCCTGGCTAGTGTCTCCCTCAGTTACTTGCCACCCCAGTCCTAGTCCTCTGGCTCTAAGTCCATCCCAGCACTAGGAGTTGTCCAGGAATTGCAGTCCCTGCATCCTAGACTGCCCTTCAAGTGTACATAGGACCCCAGAGCACTTTAGTCTGCAGTAGCAAGGCTTGCCAAGAAACTCGAGTTTGGACCAATGGGATGGGCAATTCCCCTCTGGCTAGGTCTGGTCCAAATGTTGCTTCTGTATGTGGTCAGTGGCTGAGCCCTGCACGGCTTTGCTCTCTGCTATGATAGGGTAGCACTCATTTCAATGCTAGATCCCCTCAGTCACTACGCTGTCCCTCCTCCAAATGCACAGACTCTCCAGACTGCAGGGCTGCTGCCAAGGGCATGGGCGGGGAGGGGGGCATCATTGATTCAAGACAGTCTCTCTGACCCTCTTCAATGCTTTTTTTTAATTATATGAAGTAAAAACTAGGTACTGTGATTGTGATTGCTCATAGTTGCTCAGGTTCTCATGACAGTCCTTTTTTGTGTGCAGATAGTTGTTAAAACTTGGTGTTTCTGAAGGGTTACAAAGAGTGTAAGCTTCTATTTCATCATCTTGCTCTGCTATCCACTCTTGTTTTTGACCATGCCCTAGAGAGTGAATTTGCAAAGCTGCTTATTGTTACCATCCCAGAATTGAAAATTTCTCACTACTTTTGATTATCTGGGATTCTGTTTATTTACCTGAGCTGTTACTTCTGGAGTTCAACATTAACCTAACTTTCTCTAATTCTCTAGGTTTCTACAGAGAGTATTAAAATACATGTTTGAACATGGTGATATTAAAAGAATGTCATGTTGATTTATTGTGTTATGAGTGCTAATTTTTTTTGCCATGTCTCAGAAGTCAGACAGCACTGTCTTGTTTAATACTGTCTGAAATCTGACGCATAGGTCATTATGCGGTATACAATTTGAGGCTAGCTCTTTCACTGTTGTGCGTGTAGTCATCGCAAGCATAGATTCTTTAGGGACTTTATTGTGTGAAAGATGTTTAGCCATATTAAAAGGTAATGACTCATTATCAGAGAGCATTCTAACATCCAGCTCCTGCTGAGTATTTGGGCTCTAGTTGGGAGCCTGATATGGTTTGCCTCTTTGTCCCCACCCAAATCTCATCTAGAATTACAATCCCCATGAGTTGGGGGAGGGGCCAGGTGAGAGGTGATTGAAACATGGGTGTAGACTTCCCCCTTGCTGTTCTCATAATAGTGAGTTCTCATGAGATCTGGTTGTATCAGAGTTTGTGGCACTTGCCCCCCTCACTCTCTCTCTTCCTCCCACCATGTGAAAAAATGCTTGATTCCTGTTCTTCTTCTGCCCTGCTTGTAAGTTTTCTAAAGCCTCCCAGACAGGCTTCCTGTTAAGCCTGGGGAACTGTGAGTCAATCAAAACTCTTCGATTCATAAATTACACAGTCTCAGGTAGTTCTTTATAGCAGTGTGAAAATGGATTAATATAGAGCCAATCTTGTTATTAATATGAATTCTTAGATGTTAAGCTATTTTCTATGTTTTCCATCAAATTTGTCTATTATAATTCATTGTATTTGTGACATCAGCTGCTTCACCTTATTTCTGCAAAAATGTTAATGTAGTAAAAGTAGTCCTATTTAATATTACTATTTCATGACTTTTGTTAATAGAAAATTTGAAAACTTATGTAAATAGACGAAGCGCCTGACCTTATATAAGTAATATATAATTATGTATGCTGCTTTTGTTCTTATTAAGTTAATATTCATTCATGTATACATGTGAGGTTATATTAGTCAGGGTTCTCTAGAGGGACAGAACTAACAGGAAGGATATATATAAATATAAAGGGGAGTTTATTAAGTATTACATAACATGATAGTGAGGTCCCACAATAGGCTGTCTGTAAGCTGAGGAGCAAGGAGAGCCAGTCTGAGTCCCAAAACTGAAGAACTTAGAGTTGGATGTTCGAGGGCAGGAAGCGTCCAGCGTGGGAGAAAGATGTAGGCTGGGAGGCTAGGCCGGTCTCTCATTTTCACATTTTTCTGCCTGCTTTGTATTCGCTGGCAGCTGATTAGATTGTGCCCACCAGATGAAGGGTGGATCTGCCTTCCCCAGCCCACTGACTCAAATGTTAGTCTCTTTTGACAATACTCTCACAGATATGCCTGGGATCAATACTTTGTATCTTTAATCTAATCAAGTTGACACTCAGTATTAACCATCACAGAGGTGAACTTGAAATTGGTGTGATTAGATACCATTTGGTATGTCACAAAAAAAAGGCCTTGCCCAAGTATTTTTTTTCACTTTTCTTTTCTTTTTTTTTTTTTTTTTTGTGAGACAGAGTCATGCTCTGTCACCCAGGCTGGAGCGCAGTGGTGCGATCTTGGCTCACTGCAACCTCTGCCTACCCAGGTTCAAACAATTCTCCTGCCTCAGCCTCCCGAGTAGCTAGGATTACAGGCGTGCACCACCATGCCCAGCAGATTTTTTGTATTATTAGTAGAGATGGGGTTTTTCCATGTTGGCCAGGCTGGTCTCAACCTCAGGTGATCTGCCCACTTTGGCCTCCCATAGTGCAGGGATTACAGGTGTGAGCCGCCACGTCCAGCCCACATTTTTTAATATATTTTCTCTCTTAAATATTTTGTTAGAAAAAAGAAAAGATAATTGTTATTGCTAAAATAGATACAGAGAAAGTGATAATTTTGTGTTACCATTCCCCTTCTGAGTGTACTTCCAGCCACGCTTCCAGGTATGCATTAGGAGCAACCAGTTATATGGGTACCCACATTCTCCTGTTGCTCAAGCAGACATGTACTTTTTGTTACTATGCATTTTCATGTACTGTAGTCTTATGTAGACACATGGGGAATTTGTTTTCACTTTTATTCACCTTAGGAAAACAAGGTTATAGTGTGTATATATATATGTGTGTGTGTATATATATATGTGTGTGTATATATATATGTGTGTGTATATATATGTACATATATGTATATTATTCAGTAAATTGCTTTTCTACTCAAAAACTTTATGTATATCCTTCCAGCTCAAATTTTGTGTCTCATGTAAACTAATATTTAACTTTCTTATTCCCTCAAATACAGAATTATCCACCCCCACCAAAAAAAAAATTCTTTATAAATTTGCTCCTTTGGCCCATCTTTTAAAATTATTTTTGCTCTTATGACAAAGTCCCTTTATTCCTTAGTGATGGTATAAGAATTTTTACATATTACTTTAGTCTTGAGGTCAGCTTGATTAATTTTACTATCTTATCTTTGCTCCTAACCTGCAATAACGTTTTGCCAAATACCAGTAGTAAATTAAAATGTTTTTATCCACCTGTATTCTTGACCTAAAATTGTAAAGTATTTTCAGGCAAATGAACATTTTTTACAGTGTTGAATCTTCCAATACATGATTATGGGTATATGTCCAGTGATCCTTTATTTTATATTATACTATAAAGTTTTAAATTCACTTAATATGCTTGCTAAAGTATTTTTTACAATGTTAGTGATTGCTAACTTACCTTTTAAGTTTTCTGTTGTCCGTCAGTTTTTGTTTTTTGCAATTGTGTGTTCTACTTGATTATCTTTAGACTACATAGAAACTATTTTTTTTAACCTATGTCTTTTTTGCATGCATTTCTAAATTGTTGGCTTCCATTTATTTTAAGTTATATTATTTTGAATTGTCTCTAAGGATAATAGTATTTTTATTATAGGGTCCCTTGAAATAATATCACCAAATATTTACTACATCCAACAGATTGCTTATGGATCCTCATTTCATGCCTCACCTCCCAGTCCTTGTATTTGAGGCCAAGGTTGTTCATTTCTGCTTTAGTGGGAACTTACATTAAAACTTCTTTGATGGGCCTTGATGTCATTTGTCTTAATACTGATTATTAACCATAGATTTAAATGAGAGTGCTGACCATGCTCCAATGTAATGATAGGTAAGGGCTGGCAACCCCAAATGTGTTACTTGATCCTGGATTCTGATGTTCTGATAGTATTAATATGTATATGCTGGTTAAAAAATAATAAAAACATTTTTACATTTTCGGCACATTTGATGCATTAGATAAATGGGGAATACGAATATATACCGTGAGTAGTAAATAATTCTGGTAGGGATTAAGTGAGACAAAATAAAAGTCTAGAGGGCAACGGCTGACCCATGGAAAGCAATGCAAATATAGGAATTCTTATTTTTTTTTCTATTTTAAGTCCTATTGTCTTTGCTACTATCAGGTAAATATATTCTCCTTTTTACATATGGAGTATCATCTTATTTAAATGACCTACATATTCATGCTTTGATTTTCAAATGTTGAGCTCCTGTAAGGAATTGTGCGGATATGTTATAAATTAAGAGTATATGTGTTGATTATTTCTAATTAACATCAACTTTGTTCAGCAACGTCTCATTATAAATGCTTGAATCGCACTGTTTAAATAATTTTAGTTTTAAAATTTCACTTAGGGTGTATTCATTTTATAAAGATTCATGGAGCTACACACGTGCTCTGTGTACTTTTCTGTGTGTATGTTATGCCTCGACAGAAATAAAACAAACACCACCCCACAACAAAACAGTAATCACCTGGGTTTAGCAGACCAGATACCAGTTCTTACTCTTTATTATCCCAGAGTTACTTTTTTCAGCCCTATATAAGTAGCAACTAACAGTAATTTTGCTTTCTCCAATTTACTACAGTATTGTATTTGTATTTAGTAATGATTATAGCTAAATTATAAAATTTAGAAAACTCAGCCACTTTACAATATATAGTCTGCCCATCCCCCACATGGATATATAGCAGGTTATAAAGACTTTTTCTTTATTGGTAAATATTTCTTTTTTTTTTAATAAATATTGAAATAGTTGATTCTTATGTTTTAATAATTTTATATAACTTGTTTCTCTTGTCAGTATAAGTAAACCTTAATTAAACAAGTATAACCACTGTCATTAATTATTGTTATTATTAGCTTTAATGCAGAATATGTGTATTATCTTCTTTTGCATATGAATAAATCTCACAGCTTTTACAGGATCAGTTACTTGCTTAAAATCCTAAAGCAAATGATTAGCCTAGCTTCCTTCTTACCTAAGAAATTTATATTTTCTAATAAAAGCTATAATTAGTGTTTTTTTAGCCTAACTAGTCACATTAAGTAAAAATATATTAAAAATAAATTAATGACCTCCTCCACAAATGTTTGCTTCCATATCTTTGTTTTAACCAATGTTAAGTGTCTGTCCCCTCTATTTTCACATTCTTCTTCATGCGTAAACATCTATACAAATCTAGAACATTGCACAGGTTAGGGACCGAGTAGGTATGTATGGAATCAATGATATACACATATGTACACATATATATTCTGATAGATATATAGATAACCAGGATTCTTGACATCAATGCTTTTCTTTATTTTTTTAACTAGCAAAACAGTATCACAGTATACATATCATGTAGCAAATTGGTAGTTGAATAGAGGTATTAATCTAAGGATTCTAGAAGAATTACTCAAAGTACTTACATGCTGTTAGGTAGGTATATGTCTTCTAAATAGGAAATCAATATAGTATGAAAGAATGTGTTTTGTCAAGAATGGAAATAATACTGTGATGATATAGTTATGTGTTTCTCTGTGGCTCTTGAGTTTCTCCAAGTATTTTCATATACGTTGACTTGTTTATACCTCATGACAATGCCGAGGTGTAGAATTACAAGTAGAACACACAGCTCAAATATCTTGTAATGAATTAATAAGCTAATGCACATGCTGCAAGTACTCCATCTATCATGTAAATAAGCATCAAATGGGTGTAAATTATTATGATAATTAGAGACATTAATATCAGGTATTATTCCCCAGGATAGAAAATTAGATGCCTTTATTCGTTAGATCACTTATTAAGCATTCCATAGCAAGAGAGTACTCTAAGTAACTCTTGAGGTTTTAAGTGAATTTTATTTATTTTCTAATAATACACATAACACTTTTTCAACCTCATAGGTGATACAAGGTAACGATATATGGTGAGAAATGAAAAACTAATCTTCTCCCACAAATTATTCAATTCTCATTAATTTTTAAGCAATGTTACCTGCTTCATTGATAGAACTTAATAGCATATTAAACTGCAGTGAAAGTTGCTCCTGGATATTTTCAGAATGGAGTTGTTTGCTAGTCACATTAAAACTAGATCATGTTTTATCTCTTAAGAATACCCCAATATCATTTCATTAGGGGTGTTTCTCTCTCTCCTCCTTCCCTTCCACTCTCTCCCCCCCTTACCCTTCCTCCCACCCACCATGGTTTATATTTTAAAATTAAGCTCTGTTTTGTAGGTATGATGATCTTGTCCGTTTTTGTGTGTCTGTGTGTGTGTGTTGTTATTTTTTCCTTGATCATTCCAAAGGATCTTTAACAGAAAATATACTTATTTAAGGTGAGATTACATCTGTTCTATTACATTGAAAACCTTCCTGTAATATGCTCCCTTTTGCTCATATTTTTTCAGCTTTTTGAGGTATAATTGACAAAAAAATTGTATATATTGAAGGTGTACAACTTGATATTTTGATATATGTAGACATTGTGATACATTTACTGAAAACAAGCTAACACATAACCTCACATAGTTCTGATTTTGTGTGTATGTGGTGAGAGTATTAAGATTTACTATGTTAGCGAATTTCAAGTATGCAATACAGTATTAACTGTGATTACAGTGCTGTACATTAGATCTCCAGAATTTATTCATCTTACAACTGAAAGTTTCTACCCTTTGACGAACATCCCCACTTTTTCCTCCTTACCTTCACACTCTGGTAACCACCATTTTACTCTCACCTTCTATGATGTTAACTGTTTAAGGATCCACATCATAAGTGAGATTATACAGTACTTGTCTTTCTGTGTCTAGCTTTTTTACTTAGCATAATGTACTCCAGTTTCAACCATGTTGTTGTAAATGGCAATATTTTTTTCCTTATTATGGCTGAGTTGCATTCCATTAGCTAGCTAGCTAGATAATGTTGTTTTCATATCTTAGCTGTTAGGAATAATGCTGCAATGAACATGGGGGTGCAGATATCACTTCAGGATAATGATTTTATTTCCAATAAATATGTACCCAGAAGTGGGATTGCTGGACATAGGTAATTCTATTTTTATTTTTTGATACATCTACATGTTCTTTTCTATAGTGGCTGTACCAATTTGCATTCCCACCAATATTGTAAAATGATTCACTTGACACCCTCACCAACACATATCATTTGTCTTTTTGATAATAGCCATCTGAGCATGTATAAGATGATATCTCATTGTGGTTTTAGTCTTCATTTCCCTCATGATTCATGATGTTGAGCATCTTTTCACTTATCTTTTTAGCCACCTGAATGCCTCCTTTGGAAAATTGTCTCTGCAGATTCTTTGCCCATTGTTTAATCTGTTTGTTTTTTGTGCTATTGTGTTATATAAGTTCATTATATATTTTTGATATCAACTCATTATCAGATATATGGTTTGCGATTATTCCAGTTTGTCTTTTCAATGAGTGGATTGTCTCCTTTGCTGTGCAGAAGCTTTGCAGTTTGGCGTAATCTCACTTTTTACTTTTACTTTTATTGCTTGTGCTTTTAGGGTCGTTCTAAAAAAAAAAATCATTGCCAAGAACAATGTAAAAGAACTTTTTTCTGTGTTTTATTCCAGCAGCAGTTTTAAGGTATTTTGTCTTATGTTTAAGTATTTAATCCATTTTGAATTGATGTTTGTGCGTGGTATAAGATAAGAGTTCATTTTAATTCTTTAGCATGTGGCTATTCAGTTCTCACAACACCATTATTAGTGTATTCACTCCTCCTTATGTATTCTTGGTGTCCTTGTCAATGATTAGTTGACTTTGCATACGTGGGTTTATTTCTGTGATCTCTTCTGTTCCATTGGTCTACGTGTCTATTTTTATGATAGTACAATACTGTTTTTATTACTGTAGCATTGTAATGTAGTTTAAGAAATGTGATATACCAAGGGTTTGTTCTTCTTACTCAAAATTACATTGGCTATTCAGGGCCTTTGTGTTTCCATACAAATTTTAGGATTTTTTAATTTTTATGAAAAATGTCATTGGAATTTTGGTAAGGATGGCATTGTATCTGTGGATCGCTTTGTATAGTATGGACATATTAACAATATTCTTTAGTTTTTATTTCTGGGTACATAGTAGGTGTATATATTTGTGGGGTTCATAGCATGTTCTGATACAGGCATGCAATGTGAAATAAGCAAATGATGGACAGTAAGGTAGCAATCCCCTCAAGAATTTATGCTTTGATTTACAAACAATTCAATTATACTCTTAAAGTTATTTTAAAATGTGGAATTGTTATTGACTATACTCACCCTATTGTGCCATCAGATCATAGGTCTTATTTATTCTAACTATTTTTTGTACTCGATAACTATCCCCAACTCCTGCCCCAGACCCTACTATTCTTCCCAGCCTCTAGTAACCAGACTTCTACTCTCTATGTCCATGAATGCAATTCGTTTGATTTGTAGATCACACAAATAAGTAAGAACATGCAATGTTGCCTTTTTTTGGTCTGGATTATTTTACTTACGTAATTATCTCCAGCCATGCATGACAGCCAAACAGCTAATATCACACTGAATGGGGAAAAACTGAAAGCCTTTCCTCTAATATCTGGAACATGACAAGCACGCCCACTTTCACCACTGTTTTTCAACATAGTACTGGAAGTCCTAGCTAGAGGAATAAGACAAGAGAAAGAAATAAGGGGCATTCAAGTTGGAAAAGAAGTCAAATTATCCTTGTTTGCAGATGATATCATCTTATATTTGAAAAAACCTGCAGACTCCTCCAAACAACTATTAGGACTGATAAACAAATTCAGTAAAGTAGCCAGATACGAGATCAACATACAAAAACCAATAGCATTTCTATATGCCAACAGTGAGCAATGTGAAAGGAAATAAAGTAATTCCATTCATAATAACAACAAATAAAATTAAATACCTAGGACTTAATTAAACCAAAGAAATGAAAGATGTCCTCAATAAAAACTATCAGAAATTGATGAAATAAATTGAAGTTGACAGGAAAAATGGGAAAATATTCCATGTTCATGGATTAGAAGAATCAGTATTGTTAAAATATCCATACTGCACAAAACAATCTACAGTTAGTTACAATCCCTCTCAAAGTACCAATGCACTCCTCAGAGAAATAGAAAAATCAATTCTAAAATTTATATGGAACCACAAAAGACCCAGAATAGTGAAAGCTATCCCAAGCAAGAAGAACAAAACTGGCAGAATCACATTACCTGACTTCAAACCACACTACAGAGCAATAGCAACGGAACAGCATGGTACCTGCATAAAACAGACACATAGACCAGTAAAACAGAATAGAAAACCCAGAAACAAATCCACACACCTACAATGAACTCATTTTCAACAAAGGTGCCAAGAACATACACTGGAGAAAAGATGGTCTCTTCAATAAATGGTTCAGGGAAAACTGGATATCCATATGCAGAAGAATGAAAAAAGATACCTGTCTCTCACCGCATGCAAAAATAAAATCAAAATGAATTAAAAACTTAAATCTAAGACCTCAAACTATGAAACTACAAGAAAACATCGAAAAACTCTCCATTACATTGGTCATGGCAAAGATTTCTTGAGTCATATCCCACAAGCACAGGTAACCATAGCAAAGATGGACAAATAGGATCAAATCAAGTTAAAAAGCTTCTGCATACCAAAGGATAAACTCAAGAAAATGTAGAGAAAACTCGCAGAACGGGTGAATATATTTGCAAATTATCCATCTGACAAGGGATTAATAACCAGAATATATAAAGAGCTCAAACAACCCTGTAGGAAAAGATCTAATAATCTCATCAAAAATGGGCAAAAGATTTGAATAGACATTTCTCAAAAGAAGACATACAAATAGGAATAGGAAAAGGTGCACAATATCATTGATGATCAGAGAAATGCAAATCAAAAGTACAATGAAATATCATCTCACCCCAGTTAAAATGGCTTATATTCAAAAGACAGTCTATAACAAATGCTAGCAAGGATATGGAGAAAAGGGAACCCTTGTATATTGTAAGTGGGAATGTAAATTAGTACAACTATGGAGAACATTTTGTGGGTTCCTCAAAAAGCTAGAAATAGAGCCACCATATGATCCAGCAATCCCACTGCTGGGTATGTATACCAGAAAAAGAAACTAGTATATTGAAGAGATATCTCCATTCCTGTGTTTGTTGCAGCACTGTTTACAATAGCTAACATTTGGAAAGCAACCCAAATGTCCAAAGATGAATGGATAAAGAAAATGTGGTAATCATACACTAGGGAGTGCTATTCAGCAATAAAAAATAATGAGATCCTGTTATTTGCAACAACATAGGTGGAACTTGAAGTCATTACTCTAAGTGAAATAAGCCAGGCACATAAAGACAAACATTGCTTGTTCTTGCTTATTTGTGGGATCTGAAAATCAAAACAATTTAACTCATGGAGATAGAGAGTAGAAGGATGGTTACCAGAGGCTGGGAAGGGTAGTAGGGTGTGGGAAGAGAGGTGGGGATGGTTAATAAGTACAAAAAAAAGTAGTTGGGAAGAATAAATAAAACCTATTTCATAGCACAAAAGGGTCACCATAGTCAATAATAATATAATTGCACATTAAAAAATAACACAAAGGCTATAGTTGAATTGTTTGTAACATGAGATAAAGGCTTGAGGAAATGGATTCCCCATTTTACATGATGTGATTATTACCCATTCATGCCTGTATCAAATCATCTTGTGTACCCCATAAATATATACTCCTACTGTGTACTCACAAAAGTTAAGATAAAAGATAAAAAATAGAGAAACCCTAGCCTACACCATAGTCATGAAAGTTAATACCAACGCCTTTTTCTAAGACTGTTATAGTTTCAGCTCTTACATTTAAGTTTTAAATGCATTTTCAGTTAATTTTTATATATGGTGTGACATAGGATCCAATTTTTCTTTTATATGTTGATATGGAATTTTGTCAGCATAATATGTTTGAAAGAATATCTTTTTCCTCATTAAATTTTTGTACTATCTTGTTAAATATCAATTGATTACCAATGTAGGGCTTTCTTTCTGGACACTCAATTCTATCTCATTGATAGATCAATGAATATCTCTCTGCAGCACCACACTGTCTTGGTTATTATAGCTTTTTAGTGAATTTTGTAACCAGAAAGTCTGAGTCTTCTATATTTCTTATTCAAGGTTGTTTTGGTTATTCTTCATCCCTTGTACTTCCATATGTATTTTAAGATCATCTGTTCATTTTTTAATGCAAGCAGTTGGAATTTTGCTAGAGATTGCATTGAATCTGTAAATTAATTTGGGAAGTAGTATATCTTAACATTATTACATTTTCTGATCCATGAACAGGAGAGGTCTTTTGTTCATGCCTTTAGGTCTTCTTCAATTTTTTTCAGTGATGCTTTGGAATTTTTAGTCAATAAATCTTGCACTTCTTTTTCATATTTATTCCTATGTATTTCATTCTTTTTTAATGTGATTATGATTGAATTGCATATCCTTAAATTCACTTTGGATTGTTCATTGCAACCATAAGGAAATAAAATTTATTTTTGTATATTGATATTTTTGTGTCCAGCAACTCTGCGGAATTTACTTATTAATTCTAATAAAGTTTGTGGATTTTGATGAATTCACAATTATTTCATTCATGAATAGATACAGTTGTACTTATTATTTAACAACGTAGACCCTTTTTATTTATTCATTTTGCCTGATCCTCCTAGCTAGAACTACCTGTAAAATGTTTAATAGAAATGATTAAAGTGAATATCTTTGCTTTGCTATTGATACTCAAGGGAAAGCATTCAGTCTTCAACAATTACGTATGATGTTAGTTGTGGGTTTTTTATATATGGCCCTTATCAGGTTTAGTAAGTTTTACTCTATTCTTAGTTTTGGGGGCATTTTTATCATGAAAAAGTGGTAGGTTTTGTCTAGTGTTTGTGTGTGTGTGTGTGTGTGTGTGTTGAGAAATGAATAGTCTTTCTCATTTCTTCTGTTGATATGTTGTATTATATTTGTTTTATTTTCAGATGTTAAACCATCTTTGCATTCCTGGAAAAAATCCCACTTGGTCCTAGTGTGTAATCTTGTTTGTATGTTGCTTGATTCAGTTTGGTAGATATTGTTTTGTGTGGCACAAGAAAGTGAGCCCACTAAATCACACAACAAATCATCCTAATGAATATATGCTATAATTTCCTCCCCATAATGTAAATGAGGAAGCTCCTTTGCTTCATGGATTATTTTCTGGTCTAACCCCACTCTCCACCTAACACTAACTCCTACCCAAATCTAACATCCCCCTACCCTAAGTTTTATTCCTGTATTTTTCCTCTCTGCTCTGCAGTTGAGCCCTTGGGTACCAAGTTTGATGGGTTTTGGTAGCTAACTCTTCCAGGGCTATCCTGGAAGCCATCCAAAAACCAAACTCACTGGAGACTTTTGGTGTAAAAATTGAACAATTTAATAGTCACCAATTTTTCTGTAAAATCTCAAAGTATAATTTTGGTAGACACATGAGTCTTAGTTCAGGCTACTATAATAAAGTACCATAGACTGGGTGGCTTATAAACAACAATAGTTTATTTCTTATGCCTCTGGAGGATGGAAGTCTGAGATCATGATGCTGGCATGATCTGATTTTGGTAAGGGCCCTTTTCTGTGTTGCAGACTGCCAAATTCTTGAATTCTCATGGCAGAAAGAGCTAGCTAGTTTTCTGACTTACTAAAAGGGCACTAATCTTATTCATGAAGGTTTCACCTTCATTACCTGATTACCTCCCAAAGTTCCCACCTCCAAAAACCATCAAATTGGGGGTTATGATTTCAATATATAGATTTTGGGGAGATACACAAACATTCAGACAATAACAGATAAAGCATGCTAAATCATTAAGCATGTATACACACAGGTTTTATTTTTATGCCATTCTTATCTCTTCTTCCACCCAAACCAGATGGTGAAGAATCACTATTCAGCAAATATTTTTGGTCTTAAGAATATTATCATGGATATCTCATAAATATTTTTGCTTAATGATGGGAAACTCAACTTTCAATCCTTTATGGATTGCATTGGAGTGTATCATTTCAAATGAGATTCTAATCTGACAGTTTTTCCCAAATATCTAATGAACAAAACAAAATATAATGGGCCGGGCGTGGTGGCTCACACCTGTAATCCCAGCACTTTGGGAGGCCGAGGTGGGTGGATCACGAGGTCAGGAGATTGAGACCATCCTGGCTAACATGATGGAACCCCCAACTCTACTAAAAAATACAAAAAATTAGCCAGGCGTGGTGGTGGGCACCTGTAGTCCCAGCTACTCGGGAGGCTGAGGCAGGAGAATGGTGTGAACCCGGGAGGTGGAGCTTGCAGTGAGCTGAGATCACGCCACTGCACTCCAGCCTGGGTGACAGAGCAAGACTACGTCTCAAAAAAAAAAAAAAAAAAAAAAAAAAAAAATATATATATATATATATATATATATACACATACATATATATAATGAACCAATTTCATTTTATTGATGTCTGTCAATTTTTGAGCTCAAAACACATTATTACAATTATTGCAATTGATCACAAATTCAATTATTTGTATAGTGAATACCCTTTCTATAATTTCTTTTTAGGTTTACCTTGATTACTCTCAGAAGTACATTATCACAAATGGAGTTTTAATAATAATTTACCAAATTCTCAAAACCTTTTAATAGGGATTTCAAGTTTCTTATATATAGAAAATATATGCAAATGTTTAAAATTTAACAGCTTTATAATATCAGATTTTCATATTCTGTGGCATGGGTTGGTATTTGTTTAAGCTCTTCAGTATTCTTCAAACCTTCTGTTTATAATTAATCTTTATAGTGTACACAATTTTCAAATAAGAGTTATGAATATATATTAAAAAGGGGATCTTAAAATACTCATTCCGCAATATGCCTCTTTTCAAATTTAAAAGTGAATAATGGATATCCATGTAGCTTAATTTATTTTAGGATTTTACATTCCTACTTAACACTAAGTCATGGTTATCCTCCTTTTCCATATGATTCTATTGTGTTATATCTTTAAATTCATTTTTTGTTGCCCATGCAAAATGCATTAGTTTGCATTGCCTGGGTGTTTAATTATATTTTGCTTTACAACCATGACTGTGCTCAACACTATTAGATGATTAATTCTGTTTAAGAATTCTTTGTCAATTCTTGTATAATACTCGTTGTTGTAATTAATGTAGGATCAATATCTATAGTAGTAAATATGCCCCATTACCTTTTTTTTAGTTCTCAAGTAATATTGTCTATATTATCTCACCTAAGAGCTACATACTTTTCCAGTTGAAATTTAAATATATTTTTAAAATTTCTAATAAGGTAACATTACATTTTTATTTTTAATTTAACTGTTGTGAAAAATCAAAGATTTTTTGAGAAAATATAACAAATTTTGATATTGACATTCCCTAAGCCACATAATGTACATACATGGTTTTGTGAACTACTTTCACTTGTTTAGAAAAAGTTTATCGTTTTTTGTATAGAACTTGAGGAATTCTTAATAAATATCGTTCTAAATTTTCAAATGTTGTGAATTACAAATTCATACTAAATTTGGTTAACTTTTCAAAATAATTAATGGTGGTGTAATACTGATGAAATAATAATTTGTCTAGTTTTATTTTCAATCTGCCCAACTTGCTTAAGGCTGTTTTAGAGGAGAAGGGGAGATTCATGGGTTGTATGCTTTGCTAATATCATTCATGTGTTTGCACTGCAAAATTAACATTAGTCCTCACTTTACATAGTCACAACGGGTAGTTATTAAAACCGAGGGAGATAATAGACTTGATTTGCATCTAGGCTTTCCTCCCCACCCCTCATACTCTGCCTGCTAGAACCCTGCTGTGAAATCTGGGCCCTCGGTTAGTCTCTTTAGAGAGGAATTTTTGCCAGATTCTCCAGATTTCCATAGTCAGTCACCTAAAACCACAACACATGAGAGATATTTAGGTCTCCAGCCACCTTAGCCTCTCTGCTGTTCCTCAGACACCCCCGTTACAGTCTCCCTCAGATTTTCGAAATGACTGCTTGCTCTTTCTGAAGAGTCTTCCTCCCAGCTATCAGTTGGGTTGACTCTTAAAACTCAAGGATCTTTGGTCCAATGTCACCTACTCAATCATGCCTACTATGACCTCTCCAATTAATACAGCATTCTCATCTTTGTCTTTAGCTTTCCCAATCTCCCACCTTGCTTTACTCACTTGCTTCTTTATCTCATATCGCATATCACATTCTAGCATGGTTTTTCATTTATTCATTATGTTTTCTGTAGAGTGAAAAATCGTCTAGGCTTGCTTGGAAGTAAGGGGTGGAGGGGTTTCCCAGGTTGTGGAACTTTTCAGTTTTAAAACCAGAAAAGTCCCATGCAAACTGGGATGAGTTGTCTTAACTTGTTTCCTTGTCTTCCTCCTCCCAGCAGAATGAAACCATCATGACTGGAGATCTCTGGTTTGTTCAGTGATTTATCCCACACATAAACAGTGCCTCACACATAGGCAGTTAATATTTTTTTTCTGAATGATGGAAGGAAGAAATAAAGAATAAGAATTACAGTGCTTACATCTTTGTAGCTAGGCATGTAACTTCTAAATGGGTCTGCTGTATGATATTTTTGGAGAACAGAATCAAATTTACTAAAATAATATAATTACTTAGGTTTCTGAGTCACTTTTTAGTTCACAAACATACGATTTACCCCCTATCCTGCCTCATTTAATTCTAGTAGCAGTCCTGCAGCATAGAATGAATAATATCTATGGCATCAGATGTTTTTGAGGGTAAAGAGAGGTTATTCCCATTAAGGCATTTCCACACTCTGTGACACCTGAGTAAACGTTCAGTGAATGTTTCTAACTACATTATGATTCTATCGTTATTGTTCTTTTATTATGATGAGACAGTCATTGCCTTCTTTTTCGGAATGGGAAGTTTGAGACTTGGAGAAGATTAGTGACTTGTTTCAAGTCAGAAAACAAGAGAGTAGCTGGTGCTAATGTTTTTAAAGATTTTCTTTGTCAATTTGTTCAATACAATGTCAGTTTCTCTTAGTGTAACCAGAGAAAGATTTCTAAGCTGTATATGTAGATATGTCCATATTTTAGTTTTAAAATACAAAAATATAATTCCTAATTGTGCATTGTTATATGAAAAAATGTGTATAATAATTTATTATGTGTCTATACAAATGTATTGGCACCTGTGATCCTTGAGACAAACTTCTAAATTAGCAATAATGGGAGAATCTCTTCCATAAGATTGATGTGATGATTAAGACAATTACCAGATAAAAGCACTCAGCACATTGTCTGACTCATTGTCACTCTCAGTCAATTCTAATTGTGTTGGTTTTATTACTAATAATACTATTACCATTTCTCAGAATAGGGATTTTTATTGCCTGAGAAATTTGAAGCTGGGAGGAGTAAACTTCGTAGATGATGAATGACTTTTCTGTGTTTAAATAAATACATAAACATAGATGTATACTGACATAGTGTTTAGAATTGCATTTTACCAAGCTGGATCTTATAATACGCATTCTGCAATTTGATTTTCTCACACAGCAATACATTATAGATATCTATAGAGTTTATATTCATATGTTTATATTCACAGTTTATATTCATGTGTCTTGAAATCCACAGATGAATGTTAGTACAAGTTCTGATTTCCAATTTTTCCTCTCTCTGATGTCAAAATTATTTAATATTATTGGTGCTATTAGTTGTGTTCCTGAGATCTACAGAAACTTACCAGAGAGCATTACATGATATCTTAATTATTATAGCTTGAAACTACAATTTAGACTCTTTTCTTGCAGAAGTCTTTCTTTTATTCCTTTCTTTTATTCCTTGAATACTTTCATCTCATTATGCTTTGAGATCAGTGTTAGTTTCTTAAATTTACCTAAATATCTCATTGGGGTTTCTATCATGTCAATACTACAAAGAATTTGAATAAAATCATTTTTGCAACAGGGCTTTCTCTTCCACCAACATGTACATAACTCTGAATATGTGTACTGTTTCATAATTCTCCAAATAGTTTTTACTCCTCTTCCTTTCTGTATTGAATGTTACCTAATCAATTTGTGCATGAGATTTATACAATTTTTATGGTAAGTAGAATTGAGTAAAAATTGATTTTTTGACTATCACTGCCTATCATAAATTTCTTAAGTTATTTATATGTATTTTCTGTCTCAACCTAATGACTCTCTTATTTCCCAAAGACTTTTTAGTTTTCTCAAAATGATTAATACCTGATTTCAATGTATGGAGATGTAAAAATGAAACCACTTAACATTTTGTTATCATCAGTTAATTGCTTTTTATTGCAGACCAAAACCAGCCAGTCAGCACTAGTCCAGGCTGTTTTAGGGATTATGTCCTTCCCTTCTCATTGACACGTGGTCCTTTAGACCTATGATGTTCATGCATATTCAGGTATGTGAGTGCCGCATGAGGAGTTCGAATAGACTATATTGCCATTTTATCCATGAGTTTCTTAGCATTTACTGCACGTCTAAACATATCTTCTGTTATCAAGAACAGTAATTTAATGATGTGAGTAAATTTTATTAAGAATCCTTACGGGTTGATGGGTGCAGCAAACCTCCATGGCATGTGTATACCTATGTAACAAATCTGCACGTTCTGCACATGTATCCCAGAAATTAAAGTATAATGAAAGAAAAAATAAGAAAAATTGCTTACCCAAATTCTTACATGTTGTTTGACAAGTGAGTTGTTTTGAATAGGAAAACAGTATGGTATGTTTTGAAATTTGAAATTACTTGAATTGGAATCTTATGATATAAGGTATTGATTAGGATTTTATCTTTGTTTTCATTTACCAAGGTATCTTCATATATTTGTCTCAATCAATCATAAACTAAAAACAACAGTTAACTTCTCCAAGTCAAAAGCTTCCTTGTTTGAGGAGACTCCTAATCTGTCTTGTTTGAGGTCAAATAGCAGTACATTGGCAATATTTATCTTTTCCTGGGAAAAAATATAATTTGTGTGTGAATTTTTTGAATACTTATTTAAAATTAATCCCTAGGTATATTATAGTAGTTCTTGTTTGGTTAATATGTTTCTATTCAATTTCATGTCATGGAATGCAAAATTGGTTCGATACATGTCCTATGGTTTGAATATGCTTTGTTGAGCACCACCAAGTCTCCTATTGAGATTTGATTCCAAATGTTGGAGGTGGGGCCTGGTGGGAGATGTTTGGACCCCAGGGACAGAACCCTCAAGAATGGCTTGGTGCTGTTCTCAAGGGAGTGAGTGAGCGGTCACAATAGGTTTCCATGAGAAATGGTCGCTGAAAACAGCCAGACACTTCCGCCTCTCTCACCAGATATAGTTGCCAGCAGCAAGCTTCTTGCAGAACCCACAGAGCCATGAGCCAAATGAACTTTTCTTTATAAATTACCCAGCCTCAGATATTCCTTTATGGTAATACAAACGTACTAATACAATACACGAATCAATAAATGTGATGCATCACAGTAATAAAATGAAAGCAAAAAAATATATAATCATCTCAATAGATGAGGAAAAATCATCGCACAAAACTCAACATACTTTTATGATAACACTCAGCAAATAAAGGTCATATATCACAAGCCGACAACTAACATCATATTCAATTGTGAAAAACTGAAAGTCTTTTTTTAAGATTAGGAAAAAGACAAGAATGCCCACCGGTTACAGTAGATAGCTAGCCAGGCATAAGTGAGGCAGGTGAGAGGTCCCTCCTACACCCACCAGGAATGTCACAGGACCGTAAAGTGATGGTTCCGCAGTTATCACACTGCTCTGTAAAAAATGATAATTGGCAGTCAGTACCAGGGGAAGGCAATTTCCTCATGGTCTACAGTTGTCACACTAAAGTGATAATTGAACACAGGCACCAGGGAAAGGCAATTTCTCAAACAGATAAAAACACTTGAAACGGGTAATCAGTTTTCAATAAAATCTCAGAAATTCGGTGAGTGAGCTTGAGCATGCACATTAAGAGGCAAAATGGCAAAGTATAATCTTCCGGGGTCATTCCACTGGAAAAGGGAAGAAAGCCTCAAGTGGGCATGCATACAACTTCCTAAACACCCTGCACATGCTCGCCTCCCAAGAGTAAAGAGGGCACCGCACATGCGGCGGCTCACCCTTAGAGAAGAACGAAGGGAAGCGGGTGTAAGACACCGGAAGTCAGCCAGCATATAATGCCCTAGGATAAGGTTAAATGGGGCGGTTGACCTCAAAAGTGCACTCTTGGGTCTCTTTCAAGTGTACTTTCCTTTCTTTTCTGCTCTGAAGCTTTTTAGTAAACTTCCACTCCTGCTCTGAAACTTGCCTTGGTCTCTTTTTCTGACTTATGCTGCTCAGTTGAATTATCTCTTCTGAGGAGGCAAGAATTCAGGTTGCTGCAGACCAGTTGGCAATTCAGATATTTGTGGTCCCCTAACACACTGTCACCACTTCTATTCAACATAGTAATGGAAGTCCTAGCCAAAAAAATTAGGCAAGGAAAAGAAACGGCATCCATTGGAAAAGAGACAAAAATGTCTCTGCCTGCAGGAGAAGTGATCTTGTATATGCAAAACCTAAAGTTTCCACAAAACACTGTAAGAACTAACTAACAACTTCAGAAAATTTGCAGGGTATGAAATCAACGTACAAAAATCAGTAGTGTCTCTACACACTAAAAACTGATCATCTGAAAAAGAAATCAAGAAAACAATCCCATTTATAATAGCATCAAGAAAAAAATAAAATGCTTAGAAAAAATTAATCAAAGAGATGAAAATATGTAAACTGAAAAGTAAAACACCTTGATGAAAGGAAATGAAGATGAAACAAATAAATGAAAAGAGGTTTCATGCTTATAGAAGAATTAATATTACAATGTCCATACCTATGTAAAGAGACCAAATCTATGCCTCATTGACATTCCTGAGAGAAAATGAGAGAGAATCTAAGACAGGGAGAAAAAGTAAGCAGCTTGAAAACATATTTCAGGATATCGTCCTTTAAAATTTCCCCAACCTTGCTAGAGAGGTCAACATTCAAATTCAGGAAATGAAGAAAAACTTTGTAAAATCCTACACAAGAAGACCACCCCCAAGACACATAGTCATCACATTCTCCAAGGTCAAAAAAATAAAAAATATTAAAGATAGGTAGAGAGAAGGGGCAGGTCAGCTAGAAAAAGAATTGTATCAGTCAAACAGCTGACCTTTCAGCAGAAACCCTACAAGCCAGAACAGAATTAAGGGCTATACTCAGCATTCTTAAAGAAATGAGTTTCCAGCCAAGAATTTCATATCCAGCCAAACTAAGCCTCATAAGCAAAGGAGAAGTAAGATCCTTTTCAGACAAGCAAATACTAAGGGATTTCATTACCACCATACTGGCCTTAAAAAGGTCCTGAAAGGAGCGTTAACATGTAAAAAAAAAGACTGTTACCAACCACTACAAAAACACACTTAAGTATGTAGAGTAGTGACATTGTATGGCAACCACAAAAACAAGTCTACATAATAACCAGCTAACAATATTATGACAGAAACAAATCTGCCCATATCTATACTAACCTTGAATGTCAATGGGCTAAATGCTCCAATTAAAAAGCACAGTATGGCAAGTTGGATAAAGAAGCAAGACCAAACAGTATGTTATCTTCATGAGGCTCCTGATGCAATGAGAGATGCAATGAGAGATGCAATGACTTGCATAGGCTCAAACTAAAAGGATAGAGAAAAATGTACCAAGAAAATGTGAAACAGTAAAAAGCAGGGGTTGCTATTATAATTTCAGACAAAAGAGACTTCAACACAGCAAAGATTACAAAAGAGAATGAAGAGTATTACCTAATGGTAAAGAGCTCAATTCAACAAGAAGGCTTAACTATCTTAGATACAGATGCACCCAACACAGGAGCACCCAGATTGATAAATCAACTTCTTAGAGACCTACAAAAAGACTTAGATAACCACACAGTAATGGTGGGAGGCTTCAGCAACCCAGTGACACATTAGATACGTAATCAACGCAGAAAACTAACAAAGATATTCTGGATGTGAACTCAGCATTTTACCAAATGGGCCTCATAGACATCTACAGAACACTATACCCAACAGAACAGAATAGACATTCCTCTCATCTTCACATGGCACATACTGTAAAATTGAACACATTATCAGACATAAACCAAACCTCAGATAATTTTAAAAAATAGAAATTATACCATCCGCATTCTCATATCAGAGCACAATAAAAATAGAATCAATACTAAGAAAATTGCTCAAAACTGTATGGTTACATGGAAATTAAACAACCTGCTCCCAAATGATTTTTGGGTAAATAATGAAACTAAGGAGGAAATCAAGAAATTCTTTGAAACTCATGAGAACAAAGATACAACATACCAGAATCTCTGGGACACAGCCAAGGCAATGTTAAGAGGGAAGCTTATAGCTCTAAACGCCTACATAAAATGTTAGAAAAAACTCAAATTAACAACATAACATCACAACTAGAAGAACTAGAGAAATGAGAGCAAACTATTCCCAAAGCTAGCAAAGGACGAGAAATAACAAAAATCAAAGCTGAGCTAAAGGAAACTGAGATGTGGAAAACCATACAAAAGATCAAGGAATCGAGAAGTTGATTATTTTAAAAACTAATAATAAAGTAGAGACATCACTAGCTAGACATACAGAAAAATAGGGAATATTCAAGTAAACACTATCAGAAATGAAAAAGGGGACATTAACCCTTACCCCATAGAAATACAAAAAGTCCTCAGATACTATTATGAACACCTCTATGCACACAAACCAGAAAACCTAGAATAAATGGATAAATTTCTGGGCACATAAAACCTCCCGAAATTGAACCAGGAAGAAACTGAATCCCTAAACAGACCAATAATGAGCTCTGAAATTCAATCAGTAATAAAAAGCCTGTCAACCAAAAAAAAAAAAAAAAAAAAAAACAGGACCAGACGGATTCACAGCTGAATTCTACCATATGCATAAAGAAGAGCTGGTAACATTCCTACTGAAATTATTCCAAAAAGAAATTGAGGAGGAGGAACTCCTTCCTAACTCATTCTTTGAGGACTGCATCATCCTGATACAAAAACCTAGCAGAGACACAGAAAAAAAAAAAAAAAAAAAAACCCACACACTTCAGGCCAATATCCTTATCCTTGATTAACAGATGTAAAAATTTTCAATAAAATACTAGAAAAGTGAATCCAGTAGCACATCAAAAAGCTAATCAACCATGTTCAAGTAGGTGTTATCCATGGGGTGCAAGGTTGGGTCACCATACACAAATCAATACATGTGATTTATCACATAAATAGAGCTAAAAACAAAACCTTATGATTATCTGAATAGATGCAGAAAAGGCTTTCAAATAAATGGAACATTCCTTCGTGTTAAAAAAAAAGAAACCTCAATAAACTAGGCACTGAAGGAACATACTTCAAAATAATAAAAGCTATCTATGACAAACCCATGGCCAAAATCATACTGAATGGGCAAAAGGTAGAAGCATTCCCCTCAAAAACTGGAACAAGACAAGGATGCCCTCTCTCACCACTCCTATTCAACATAGGACTGGAAGTCCGGGCCAGATCAATCAGGCAAGAGAAAGAAATTAAAGGCATCCAAATAGGAAGAGAAGAAGTAAAAATATCTCTGTTTACAAATAACATGTGTATTAGTCTGTTCTCATACTGCTAATAAGACATACTCAAGACTGGGTAATGTATAAAGGAAAGAGGTTTAATTGACTCACAGTTCCACATGGCTGGAGTGGCCTCACAATCATGGCAGAAGGCAAAGAAGGAGCAAAGTCACATCTTACATGGTGGCAGGCAAGAGAGCTTGTACAGGTGAACTCCAACTTATAAAACCATCAGATCTTGTGAGATTTATTTACTACCACGAGAACAGTATGGGGGAAACCAACCCCATCATTCAATTATCTCCACCTGGCCCCACCCTTGACACGTGGAGACTATTACAATTCAAGGTGAGATTTGGGTAGGGACACGGCCAAACCCTATCAATATAATTCTTTACCTAGAAAACCCCATGGTCTCTGCCCAAAAACTCCTTGATATGATAAACAACATCGATGAAGTTTCAAGATACAAAACAAATATACAAAAATGAGTAGCATTTCTATACACTAACAACATGCAAGCTGAGAGCCAAATCAAGAACATGATCCCATTCACAATAGCTACAAAAATAGTAAAATACCTAGGAAAATATTACATGCTCATGGAATAAGAAGACTCAATATTTTTTAAATGGTCATACTTCCCAAAGCAACGTATAGATTCAATGCTATTCCTATCAAAGTACCAATGGCATTCTTCATAGAATTAGAAAAAACTAGCCTAAAATTTCAATGGAACCCAAAAATATCCTGAATAAGTCAAGGCAATTCTAAGCAAAGATAAAGCTGGAGGTATCACATTGCCCAACTTCAAACTCTACTACAAGGCTAGTTTGTAGCATCTCAGTCTCCCTAAGCCTTTGGATCCCTTCCTCTACATTAAACCAAGGGAGATCAGGCATTTCCAGCTCGCTCACAGTGGGCCATCTTTTGATCCATATTTTAGCTAACTGAGCAAATAAACCGTTAGGACCTTTTTTAACTCCCTAAGCTACAACATTAAATGCAGAATACCTTCAAAGTGGGCCCAGTCAATGAATTCAGCCTGATCCAACTTTATGTTTCTTCTGCCATTATCTCAGATACTTAATATCCATTCCCATGCCTGTTCCCCAGATTTCTGATTATATACATTAGAAAACTCAAGCAGTTCTTTTGGAGTATAGTACACTTCCTCCTGGGTCATACTCTGAACCTCACCTCTAGAGGCTTGTCGGGACTTTAGTCTAGCTATAGGTCTTTAAAAAAACAGGGGGGTTGGGGGTGGGTCCTGAGCAGAATCAACATTCTCTTGCCTGGCAATTGCCTCAGGGGAGGCCATCACTGTTGCCTCAGGCAGTGCATGGTTAATCTCCTCAGACAAAGGTGGAAAGGCTGATGGCAGCCTTGGTGGGGGAGGGGATTTTTTTTCACCACTGAGGGTGTGGAAGCTGTTTTCTCTGGTGAAAATGGCTCATCAGAATTTAGGAGTTCAGTGCCCCCAGACTCATCAGGGTCCTTTCACATATCCTCATTCCAAATATCAGGGTCTCCTTCTTTGCCAATCAATGCCCCTCACTTTAACAGTAGACACCTGGCGAGGCTGTGCATGCACCTTTCGTTGAAGGTCAGCCACTCGCATGACAAGAGCTTGTGTCTGATTTTCCACAATTTCAGCCCTTTCTCTACAGGAGATAAGACTCTCACTCAGGGCAATCTTAGAAGATTTGAGGCTTATTTACATTTTAGTAGATATTATAAGTAAACTAGAGGTGACTTAAAGCAGAATATAGTCTTTTGGAGCTAAGACATAGAATCCCTGAGTTCATCATTTTCTTTCATCACTCTGTCTAGTGAACTTAGGAGCAACCAACCAACTTCATTTTATTCCTTGGTTCTCCACATATGGTCAAACGTATTATGTATAGAGTCACTAAATTCCTTGCCTCTCACGAGCGGCGGATCAGGAGTATCAAATGCATTTATTTTGCATAACTCTTTAAACAGTTTATGCCATGGACTCTCAGTGTTCTGCATACAATTAAAAGTAGAGTCCTTAGCATTTTGGTGTCTAATCATATTAAGCAGCCAACTCCAGAAACCCCAAAACCAACTAAAGAACTCCATCCTTAAAATTCTGTTCCTCTAGAACCACTCCCAGTACCAAAATCTGTATTACTCAGGGCTCTCTAGAGGGACGGGACTAATAAGAGAGAAGTGTATACGGAAGAGAGTTTATTAAGAAGTATTGACTCGCACGGTCACAAGGTGTAGTCCCACAATAGGCCATCTGCAAGCTGAGGAGCAAGAAAGCCAGTTTAAGTCCCCAAATCTCAAAAGTAGGGAAGCCAAGAATGCAGCCTTTGGTCTGTGGCCAAAGGCCCAAGACCCCGTGGCAAACCACCTGTGTAGGTTCAAAAGTCCAAAAGCTGAAGAACTTGGAGTCCAGTGTTTGAGAGCAGAAAGCATCCAGCACAGGAAAAAGATGGAGGCCAGAAAACTCAGGCCAGTCTAGGCCTTCCATTGTCCTCTGCCTGCTTTTATCCTAGCCATGCTGGTAGCTGATTAGATGGTGCCCACCTGGATTCAGAGTGGGTCTACCTCTCCCAGTCCACTGATTCAAATGTTAATCTCCTTTGGCAACACCCTCACAGACACACCCGGGAACAATAATTTGCATCCTTCAATCAAGTTGACACTCAATATTAAACATCACAGTGTGCATGCCCAAAGGAAATGCAATAAATATGTTGAAAAGATATATACACTCTCATGTTTATTGTAGCATTATTCACAATAGCCAGCCAAGGTATGGAGTCAACCTAAGGGTTAAGTGTCTAACAACCAATGAATGAATTAAGAAAATGTGGTGTCTATCTGTCTATCTATCTACACACACACACACACACACACACACACATCAGAATATAGTCAGCTTTTTGTACTTGCAATTCAACCAACTGTAACCAACAGATCAAAAATATTTGACAAAAAAAAGAAATATAATTCCAATAAAGAGCAATACAGTAGAACAATTACTTACATAGCATTTACATTTTAGTAGATATTATAAGTAAACTAGAGATGACTTAAAGTACACAGGAGGATGTGTGTAGGTTATATGCAAATACTATATCTTGTTATATAAGGGATTTGAGCATTCTCATATTTTGGTATTTGCAGGGGTCCTGAAACCTATCCCCTGCAGATATGGAGAGACAACTATACTATTCAGCCTTTAAAAAAGAAGGAAATTCTGTTATTTGTGACAACATGGATGAACAAGGAGGACATGATAATATGTGAAATAACCCAGGCACATGAAAATAAACACTACATGATCTCACTTATATGTGGAATCTAAAAAGTTCAACTCATAGAACCAGAGTAGAATGTGGTGCCAAGGGGGTAGGGGTGAAGTTAGAATTTGGAGCTATTTGTCATCACAAGGTATAAAGTGACAGTTACACGAGATAAGTTCTGAAAAATTACTACATAACATAGTAATTATAGTTAATTATCATAAATTGTTTACAACGATGGGGCCCATACAAAGTGCCACTAGTGATGCTGGAAGTGCTGCCAAGAGGCAGAAATACGTTGTGACATTACAAGAAAATATTGAATGGTTTGGTATGTACCATAGACTGAGGTCTGCGGTTGTGGTTGCCCACCATTTGAAAATTAATGAATCCAGCTTAAGGATCATTGTAAAGAAATAAAAGAAAATTCATGAAGCCTTCACTGCATCTATGCCAGCAGGCACTTACACATGCAAAAAAACCCTTACACTTTTTGTGAAATACCTTTTTATCTCATTGAAAATGCAGTTTTTATGTGGATGCAGGATTGCTGTAACGCAGGCGTATCTATAAACTCTAATATAACTCAAGAAAAAGTGAAGTCATTATAAGACAAGTTAAAGCAAAACGAAGGTGGAGGATATAAAGCTACACAATTTAATGCAAGCAAAGGATGGTTTGATGATTTTAGAAAGGTTTGGCTTTAAAAATGTCAAGATAATAGAACGGCTTCTGTCAACCAAAAGGTAGCAGATGAGTTCCCAGATGCCATTAGGAAAATCATTGAGGAGAAAATATATCTGCCGGAGCAGGTTTTTAATGCAAAGGCAAGTGCCCTATTCTGGAAAAAAAATGCCACAAATAACATTTAATAGTATGAAAGAGAAGCAAGCAACAGGATTTAAGGCAGGAAGGGATATGCTAACTCTACTGTTTTCTGCAAATACAGTTGGGTTTGTGATCAGGACTGCCTTTATTTATAAAGCTACTAACCCCTGAGACTTGAAAGGAAAAGATAAACATGAGCCGCCAGTCTTTTGGTTGTGAAACAAGAAGGCCTGGACAATGAGTATCCTTTTTCTGGGTTGGTTCCACTGAAGCTTTGTCCCTGAAATCAGGAAATACTTTGCCAATAGAAACTGTTTTTAAAGTCATGTTGATATTGGGCAATGCCCCTAGCCACTCAAAACCCCATAATTTCAACATCAAAGATGTCAAAGTGTTCTACTTTCTCCCAAACACAAAGTCTGTAATTCAGCCTCTATATCAAGGGGTCATAAGGACCTTTAAGGCTCATTACACATTTTACTGTATGGAAAAGATTGTCAACACTATTGAAGAGAACCCTGATAGAGAGAACATCATGAACATCTGGAAGTATTATGTCATTGAAGACACCATCCTTATAGAAAAAGCCATGAAAGCCATCAACCCTGAAACATAAGTTTCTGCTGGAGAAAACTGTGTCCAAATGTTATATATGACTTCACAGGATTTATGACAGAGCCAATCAAGGAAATCATGAAAGAGATTGTGGATATGGCAAAAAAAAAAAAAAAGGTGGGAAGTAAAGGATTTCAAGATATGTGCCTTGGAGAAATCAAAGAGCTAATAGGCACTCTACCTGAAAATGAACAGAAGACAACTTAATGTAGATGAGTGCTTCTGAACCAGCACCAGATGATGAGGAAGAAGACATAGAAGAAGCAATGCCACAAAACAAGTTGACACTAGACAAGCTGGTAGAAGGGTTGGGATTATTCAAGACTGTTTTCGACTTGTTACATAACATGGACCCATCTATGATATAAGCACTAAAACTAAAGCAAATGGTGGAAGAATGGATGCCACATAGAAACATTTCTAGAGAAATGAAAAAGCAAAATAAACAGAAATTACAATGTATTTCTGTCAAGTTATTCCTAGTGTGCTTGCCTCTCTGGCCTCCCCGCCCCTCTCATCCACCTCTTCTGCCTCTGCCAACCTTGAGACAGCAAGACGAACTCCCCCTGCTTATTCCTCCTCCTCCGCCCAGAGTGAAGATGATGAGGATGAAGACTTTCATGATGATCCACTACAACTTACTGAGCAGTATATATTTCTCTCCCTTATGATTTTCTTAATAACATTTGTTTATTGTAAAAATGCAGTATATAATACATATAACACACAAAATATGTGTTAATTGACTGTTTATGTTATCGATAAAGATTCTGGTCAACAGTAAGCTGTTAGTAATTAAGTTTTGCCAAAGTCAAAAGTTATATGCAGGTTTTTGATTGTATGGAGGTTGGGCACTTCTAACCCCTGTGTTCAAGTGTCATTTGTACTTAAAAATTGCTAAGAGGTTAGATTTTAAATGTCCTCAACACACACACAAAAGTATGTAGGTCTATGAGTATTTAATTAGTTTGATTTAATCATTTCACAATAGATACACATATCAATACATGTTGTACATCATAAATATATAGTTCTTATTTGTCAGTTATACCTGAAGCTGAAAAAATTACCATTCACTATCCTTATCATTTAAATGTGATGTAAATTTAATGCAAATATGTAAATGTGAATTGAATTTAAAAAGGAATAGAAAAGATGATCTCAGAATTTTTTAAATTGTATAAATTTGGCATTCAGAATTTTTTTTTAAAAAAGAATGAGAACAGTAAAATATGTTACCTCATTTAGTCCTTTTCTGATGTTCTTCCTTTCTTTATGGTGACCTGAATTTCTGACCTACATTATCTTCATTATATCTGCATAACTTCTTTTAAGATATCTTGCAAGAGAGGTCTATTGGAATCAAATTCTTTCAATATTCATTTTTGAATAAAGTATTTATTTTTCACTTTTGAAGTATAACTTATCTGAGTACAGAATGCTAGGTTTGTGAGAGGGAGACTCTTTAAACACTAAATATTTCACTCCTATTTTTCTTGTTTATATGGTTTCTGATGAGAAGTCCAATCTAATTCTTTTTCTTGCTCCTCTGTAGGTAAGGCATTTTAATCTCTAATTTCTTTTAATTATAAATTTAATACATAGTAATTTAATCTAGAGAAATAGTGCAAAGATTTTTTTAGAGAGGATATTTAATGATATTTATTGCTTTTCCCTTCCACTTTCACAGCTAGGTAGATGTTTTTCCATTGGCTTTTCCAACCTTAAAGAGATATGTAAGCATGCATCATTTTAATAAATACTGGAACACATTATATGTACCATTATAGAAAATTGCTTTCTTTCTTAACAGCATTGATGAGTGAGGACCTTTTCCTTATGTTTATTTTTCAATTGTTTTTAAAGTAATGTTTCATTCATTGATAATACTCTCAAGTGAATGTTCACTTGAGAAATGTTTCTGAGAATATCTCATTCAAACAAGAGTTTTTCAGCTCTCAGTTTTGTTCATGTTTGTAATTTGTTGTGGCTTAACAAAATTTTCTTTATCGTAGCTGAAGAGATTATGTGAAGGTAAAGGATCCATGTACACATGCCTCTGTCTGGTCCCATAGTTTTCCCCCTTGAGAAAACTGTAGACTCATGATTGTCCTTTTACACAGCAATGTGTGTATATATATATATATGTGTGTGTATATATATACATGTTATATATATAAAAACATATATATGTTGTTAATTATATTGAGAAAAACTGGAATATCTTATGCACATTGCTCTGCAAATCGCTTTTCTACTTCACAATAAAGAATGTCAAAAGTTGTATTTTTGCATTATCATATTTTAAGGTTTAACCCTTCATCTATCATGAAATGTGTTTTGTGGGTAGGTACAATGTGAGAATCTCATTTTATTTTATATTCGCTTTCCTATTTTCCCCATAGGATTTTTTTGTTAAGCTTGTCCTTTATATCTTTCCTCTAGTTATTAAACCAATAGCTATTGGGTCTTTTTTGTGTTTTTTGGGGTTTTTTGTTTTTTTTTTTATACAGAGTCTTGCTCTGTTGCCCAGGCTGGAGTGCAGTGGCGTGATCTCGACTCACTGCAAGCTCCGCCTCCTGGGTTGACGCCATTCTCTTGCCTCAGCCTCCTGAGTAGCTGGGACTACAGGCGCCCGCCACCACTCCCGGCTAATGCTTTTTTTGTATTTTTTAGTAGAGACGGGGTTTCACCGTGTTAGCCAGGATGGTCTCGATCTCCCGACCTTGTGATCCACCCACCTCGGCCTCCCAAAGTGCTGGGATTACAGGCGTCAGCCACCACACCCGGGCAATAGGTATTGTTTTAATGACTGTAATTGTATGCTTTCATTTACACTTAGTAATGAAACATTCTGCTCATAACCCTCCCATTTCTTACACGATACCTTTTATTAAAATATGTATACTGTTTGGCTAATTTCACTTATTTATTCTGGCAAATAAACTTTAATATGAATTTGGTATACTGCAAAATGAGACATTTAAATTATATTATAATAAAGGTTCAAATGTTAGCATTTTGCAATATTGATTCTTCTCATCCAGAACCATAAATATATTTGTAGGTAATGAAGCCTTTTATTTACCTGTTGGAAGAGTTTGTATTTTCCTTATATAGATCCAAAAAAGTTTATAATATATTTATTTCTCGGTATTACAATTTTCCCCCTTTTTTGTACATAGGTTACTTTTCCATTGTCTTTTCTGATTACTACTTATGTATAGGAAATCAAATAATCTTGTTGTATACTTGTTTTTTCCCCTGTTCTTACCTTTTTAAACAATCTTACCAGTTACATCATTTATTTTTCTTCTCTAGGATTTTCCAAGTGATTAATTATATAATCTATGTTTTGAAGCAAAAACATTAAAATCATCCCACATTTTCAAGTTGTCATAAGAAATACTTCCTGGACATTGCACTACAGACCAAGTCCAACCAAATGCTGCATTGATTGCTTTTGTTTTAATCTACCCTTATCCAGCCTAGCCTGTTAGAAGTAGCTTATTTCCCACTGCTCTGGGACCTAGTTAGCCCTTCTGTGAATTTTACTCTAGGATCATCCAAAGCTGCTCCAGCCCTGAAACATGAGTTCACTAGTAACATTTTGCTGTAAATAATGACAATTATAATACTAATTTTTGTTATTAAAACAAATTATTCAAATAATTTATACCTGATGTTTGGTTAAGAAGTTTAAAAATGAGTACGATTGATACAAATGGATGTGTCAAATAAGTCATGTTGTACTTATTTAAACACATATTTTACTATGTGTCTTTTCAGTTGACAAAGATTTCCATCTCTTTTGTTTAATTTGACCCTCTCTGAAGTAACAGTACAGTTCCTGAGTCTGTTAAGAAGATTTGAGGATATAATTCCAGTTTAGTACAGTTTCTGATTTTAACACATGGTAAATGTTTATCTTTATAATTATTTTTCTTATGTTTACTGTTGCTTTCAATAACGCCCAGGGCCGGCATTACATCCTGTTTACAGACAGAGAAAATGGATTATTTGTTACGCTAAGTGACTTGGTTAGCACTGCACAGCATTTGCTTTTATTTTTTAAATGTTATTTTGTCTGTTAATTTTATTTCATTGAAAATGACGCCAGCTCATTGAAGTGAAACATTTCAAAGATGAGTGAAGGAAAATGGCATGATTCACTCCACATTATCCATTTTTCCTCTTGCCTTAAGCAATGCTGACAGCATGGGGCAAATACTTCCCCGCCACATTCTATGATCAATTTCTTACAGATTAATCGAATATATATAATAAGGTATTTTTGGTCACTGATTGTACAAAAAAGTACCCGGAATTTGGGATTTTCTTTATAAATTGTTCAATATCTTATTTTTCCTGGGATGCTGGGGATGCAATGCAAACATTCCAAATGGACAATGGAATTTTTTGAATTTAAGAGTTAATATTGTAATTACTAAAACAGATTGTCAGCTTTCGGATGTATGTGCTGACTTACAGCAGATGCCGAATATGGCCAATGTTATTTAAGAATGCATTCTTTTTTCTACTATTCCCTCATCAATTATTAAGTCAATCTCTCATTTTAATTAGTGTACCTTTATACTTGATAACTAGTATGAATATATCTCTCAGCTAATCTTTGTTTTTGAGGTTTCTCTTGCATATCCTGATGTACAACATTTTCTTACAGCTCAACTGTAGCCTGAGTGCTTCAAATAGCCAGAAAAGGCACCTGAGAAATTTTATTTACTTTAATCCTAATAATGCATTTGATAATTTGTAAATATTTTCTAGCATTTTGTAGAATTATTTCTTTTCCTGTGCAGTAGCTTTTTAGTTTGATATAATCCCATTTACCTATTTTTGCTTTTCTTGACTGTCTTTTTGAGGTCTTACCCCCAAAAATTATTTGCCCAGACCAGTGTCCTGTAGTGTTTCCCCAATTATTTCTTCTAATAGTTTCACAGTTTTAGGTCTTACTTTTAAGTCTTTGATCCACTTTGAGTTGACTTTTGTATTGGTAAAATATGGGGATCTAGTTTTGTTCTTCTGCATATAGATATCCAGTTTTCCCATTGCCATTTATTAAAGGGGCTGTTCTTTTCCCCAGTGTATGTTCTTGGTTCTTATGTCAAAAATGCTTTGCATGTAAGTGTGTGGGATTTTTTAATGGGTTCTTTGTTTTGTTCCATTGGTCTAGCTGTCTGTTTTTATGCCAGTAGCATACTCTTGTTTACAGTAGCTTTGCAGTATCCAAGAAGGGATTAAGTATCAGAAATATAATGAAATTAATAGCAATTGACTAATCTGATTAAAAACGGGCAGAAGACCTGAACAGACATTTCTCAAAAGAAGACATACAAATGACCAATGGGTATATGAAAAAATATATATTCGACATTACTAATCATCAGGGAAATTCAAATCAAAACTACAATGAGACATTATCTCATCCCAGTTAGAATGGCTATTATAAAAAACACAAAAAACAACAAATGCTGGTGAGAATGCAGAGAAAGGGGAACACTCATGGAGTGTTGGTGGGAATATGAAGTGGAACAGCCATTATGGAAACAGGATGGAGGCTTATCAAAACACTAAACATAGGATTGCCATATGATCCAGCAGTGCCACTACTGGGTATATATCCCAGTGAAAGGAAATCAGTGTGTTGAAGGGATATCTGCATTTCCATATTTATTGAAGCACCAGTCACAATCGTGAAGATATAGAATCAGCCTAAGTGTCTATCAACAGATGAATAAAGAAAATGTATATATACACAATGAAATGTTCAGCCATAAAAAAGAATGAGATTCTGTCATTTGCAGCAACATAGATGAAATTATAGGTCATTAAGTGAAATAAGCCTGGCCAAGAAACACAAACTTCACATGTTCTCATTTATTTGTGGGAGCTCCAATAGTGGATCTCATGGAGGTAGAGAGTAAAGTGGTGATTACCAGAGTCTGGGAAGGGAAGGGAGCGGGAAGAAGAGAAGTTGGTTACTGGATACAAAAATACGGTAGTTGAAAATACAGTAGGGAAATTATAGTTTATAATAATTAACAGTGTTTTTCAAAATCACTGAAAGAAAACAATTGTAATTTTTCCAACACAAAGAAATGATAAATATTTGATGTGATAAATATCCAAATTACCCTGATTTGATTATTACATGTTGTATACATGTATCAGAACATCACATGTACCCCACAAATATGTAGAACTATAATATGTCAATAAAAATTTAAAAAATAAAAATTACTTTAGAAAAGGATACATTTAAAATATATAACTTTTCAATATTGAATTATGTGTGCATAGTTTTATACAAGTCACTTAGAGTAAGCCTCGGAAAGTTTTCCAGAATTCTTCAAGCATGCCTTAAATAATTCTTAGTAAGATTATTTCTAGATAATTCTCATGTACTTATTTTTGTGTGGGCAATAAATTCAAATACCTCTCTTGATATCTAAATATTTTTATTTGAGATACATATTTCAATCTCATGTATACTTGGAAAATACTTTCTATAAGACAGTACATACTGGAGGCTGAGGTGGGCAGATCACGAGGTCAGGAGGTCAAGACCATCCTGGCTAACATGGTGAAACCCTGTCTCTACTAAAAATACAAAAAAAAAAAAATAGCCAGGCGTGGTGGTGGGCACCTGTAGTCCCAGCTACTTGGGAGGCTGAGACAGGAGAATGGCATGAACCTGGGAGGCAGAGCTTGCAGTGAGCCAAGATTGTGCCACTGCACTCCAGCCTGGGCGACAGAGTGAGACTCCGTCAAAAAAAAAAAAAAAAGATAGTATATACTAAATTGTTTCTAATGATGTTAAAAATTGCATGCTAGTTCAAAGGACCCCCTTTTCATTCTCTACTATATAATCTGAGACTCAAGTTATCCGATGCCTTTTTAAATTAATTATGCCAAAGTTATCTGCTTTTATGTTTATTTTTTGCCTGCCCGAATTACTAAAATATCCTTTTGATTCTCATTAGGATTTAGTTGACTTTTCTTGGTTTCTCTATATTAAAAATAATATCAGTGATCATTAACTACTGCACACACAAAAATGCTGTCACCGACAGCATTTTTGTCAAAGCCATTCAACAGTCTTTAGGGAGTTCCAAACTTTCCCACATTTTTGTCTTCTTCTGAGCCCTCCAAACAGTTCCAGCCTCTGCCTGTTACCCAGTTCCAAGGTCGCTGCCATATTTTTGGGTATCTTTTCAGCATCACCCCACTCAACTGGTACCAACTTACTGCATTACTCCATTTTCACGCTGCTGATAAAGACATACCCAAGACTGGGCAATTTATAAAAGAAAGAGCTTTAACGGACTTACAGTTCCACATGGCTGGGGAGGCCTCACAATTATGGTGGAAGACAAGGAGGAGCAAGTCACATCTTACGTGGATGGTGGCAGGTAAAGACAGAGCTTGTGCAGAGAAACTTCCGCTTTTAAAACCATCAGATCTCATGAGACTTATTCACTATCATTAGAACAGCATGGGAAGGACCTGCCCCCATGATTCAATCACCTCCTACTTGGTCCCTCCCACAACACGTGGGAATTTCAGTGAGATTTGGATGGGGACAAGCCAAACCATATCAGTCTTGTTTGCCAGTACGGTCTCAAACTTCTGACCTCAAGTGATTTGTCCACCTCGGCCTCCCAAAGTGACGGAATTACAGGTGTGAGCCACAGCACCAGGACAAAAAAATAAAATAATTGTTTTATTGATAAGTTCTTTTTAATGAAAAAAGTAACAATGTCTAATCTAGTAGTTGACTGATGCAAAATAGAAAATGTTGCCCTTAATAGATTTATTCTGTAACCTTTCCTTAACTACTGCTAATAAACTAGTCGGTCCCATTTCATAACATTTTTTATTCTCATGAACATTTATATTAATTATTAGGCTTATAACATCCTTTGAAATCTAGTCTATTTTAGCTTTAAAGTGTGTATTAATTTTCTAAGTGGTTATTTGTTGATATATTAGAAATATATCAGTAATTTTAGATTTCTGTGATTTTATATTTTATTTTAAACTAATTTTCTATGTGTAATTTGTTCCATGTAATTTCACAGTGTGTGTAGAAGCATGTGAAAACCACCACAATTAAGATATAGATCAGTTCTCATCACAAGCATTCTTCATGTTACCCATTTACAGCCAAAGCCACCTCCCTTCTTTCACCGCCTCTCTAACCCCGGAAAACCACTAATCGATTCTCTATCTTCATCATTTTGTCATTTCAAGAATTTTATTTAAATAGAAATTATATCCTATGTAACCTTTCCATATATAATATAATGTTTTGAAATAGGTATACATTGTAGAACAGATAAGGCAAGCTAAGTAACATTCATAAACACATAGATCCTTTCTTTATCCTTGGCCTCTGGGAAATTGATTGTTAAGTACCTTGAGACAGTCCTCTGAATTAAATCTGCTTGGTGTTCTACAACCTTCTTGTACTTGAATTTTGATATCTTTCTCTAGGTTTTAGAAGTTCTTGTTATTATCCCTTTCAATACATTTTTTACTCCTATATTTTTCTCTAACTCCTCTTTAAGGCCAATAACACTTATATTTGCCCTTGCCTTCTCTGACTGTGTATTTTCAAATAGCCTGTCTTCAAGCTCACTAATTTTTTTCTTTTGCTTGATCAGTTCTACTACTAAAAGACTCTGATGTGTTCTTCGATATGCCAATTGCATTTTTCAGCTGCAGAATTTGTTTGATTCTTTTTACGTCAATCCCTTTGTTAAATTTATCTGATAGAATTCTGATTTTTTTCTCTGTGTTATCTTGAATTTCTTTCAGTTTCCTCGACATGGCTATTTTGAGTTCTGTGTCTGAAGGGTCACATATATCTGCTTCTCCAGGTTGTATCCCTGGTGCCTTATGTAGTTCATTTGGTGCAGTCATGTTTTCCTGGAATGTCTTGATACTTACAGATGTTCATCTGTGTCTGGACATTGAAGAGTTGAATACTTATTGTAGGCTTCAGTCTCTGGGCTTATTTGTAGACTTCCTTCTTGGGAAGGCTTTGCATACATTTGAAAGGACTTGAATGTTGTCATCTCAGTTGTGTCTGCTTTAGGGTCACCCCAAGCCCAGTAATGCTGTGATTCTTGCAGACTCATAGAGTTATCACCTTAATGTTCTTGGACATGATCCAGGAGAACCCGATGGATTACCAGGTTGAGACTTTTGTTCTCTTCCCTTATTTTCTCCCAAACAAATGGAGTCTCATTCTCTCTTTTCTGAGACACCTGATGCTGGGGGTGGAGTTACTGAAGCACCCATGTAACCACTACCACTATGACTGTGTTGGATCAGACCTGAAGCTAGCTCAACACTTGGTTTCTCCCAAGGCCCGCTCTAACCATTCTTTGTCTATGGCCTATTTTTGCTCAAGGCCCTGGGGCTCTACAATCAGCAGGTGGTAAAGACAGCCAGACTTGTGTTTTTTCCTTCAGGGCAATGAGTTACTCCAGTCCCCGGGTGGGTCCAGAGGGTCAATCACGGAGCCAGGAACTATAGTCAAAAACCTTAGAACTTACCTGGTGTGCTAATTGTACTGCGGTTGAGGTGGCACTCAAAGCAGAAGACACAGCCCTTCCCTCTGTTCTCTCACCTTTCCAAAGGCAGAGGAGCCTCAACCTGTAACCACTGCTACCACAGGTCCATGGGTAGTACTGCCAGACTACTGCCAATGTTCCCTTAAGTGCCAAGGGCTCTTCAGTCAACTCGTGGTGAATACTGCCTTACCCGGGACTCACCCTTCAGGGCAGTGGGCTCTCCTCTGGCTTAGGGCAAGTCTAGAAATGCTGCTCAGAGCCAATTCCAGGAAACAGTAACCTCAAGGCCCTGCTTGGTTCCCTACTTCCATGTGACTGAGGTGGTGCCTAAGGTGCATGATAAAGTCCCCTTTTCTTTTTCCTTTGCTTTTCTCAAGCAGAAGGAATCTCACTCCACTGCCACCACAGCTGGGAATGTGCTGAGTCTCACCTAAAGCCAGCAAGTCTCAGAGGCTCACCCAAGGCCCTCAATCACTTGGCTATCACTGCTGGTTATTCAGGGCCCAAAAGCTCTTCAGTTAACAGGTGATGAATCCTGCAAGGACTGGGTCCTTACCATCAAGACAGCAGGTTCCCTTCTGGCCCAGGGCTTGTCTAGAAATGTTATCCAGGAGCTAGAACTAGAAGCGGGGCTTCGTGAGTCTGCCCAGTGCCCTGTGCTGCTGTAGCTGTGCTGTTATCCACGATGCAAGACAAAGTCCTCCCCAGTCTTTCTTCTCTCTTCTCAAAGAGAAGGAAGGGATCTCTTTTGGAGCCATGAGCTATTCAGCCTGTGGTTGGGGAAAGGATAACGCCAGCACTCCCCTAGCTGTCCTAGCTGGTGTCTCAATAGATTGTGTGCTGTACCCCACCCCAAGTCTACTGGTTCTGGGCCCAGTTCAGCATCATGATTTGTGTAAAATTTGCAGTCCTTGTGTTCTAAGCTTCCCCCCACATCTACTTAGAACCCCAGGGCACTTTAGCCTCTGGTGGCGAGGCTTCAGGTAACTCAAGTTTTGACCAGTGGGATCACTGATCCCCCTCTGGCTAGGACTTGTTTAAATACTCCCTCCATGGGCAGGTGTCAGCTGAGTTTGTTCCAGTTTTTCTTTCTGCTCTACCAAAAAAGCAGTGAGTTCGATGCCTCACAATTGCTGCACTCTCCCTCCCCCAGCACAGAGAAACACTCTCCACACCGTGCTGCCACTGCCAGTGGTGGGAGAAGGGTTGGGGAGGGGTGGTGTTGGTGGTTCAAGACTGTTTTTTCTACCTATTCAGTGCCTCTTGCAGTGATATGAAGTGAAAACCAGGTACCATGACTTCTCACCTGATTTTTGGTTCTCCTGAAGGTGTTTTTCTTGTTTAGATAGTTGTAAAACTGGTGTCCTTGTGGAGGGAATAGTCAGTGGAACCTTATATTCTGCCATCTTGCTCTGCCTCCTTCTGTGATTTCCAAGAGTACAGTATGTTTTTATTAACTATAGTCACCAGACTTTACAATAGACCTCTTGAACTTATTCCTCCCAACTGAAATTTTGTATCATTTGACCAACAGCTCCTTCTCTCCTCCCAGCCTCTGGTAACCACTGTTTTACTCTCTACTTCTGTGAGTTCAACTTTTTAAGACTCTACATATTAGTGAGCTCATGCAGTATTTGTCTCTCTATACCTGGAATATTTTGTTTAATGTAATGTCCCTCAGTTTTATCCATGTTATGGCAAATGACAGGACTTCTTATGTTTTTAAGGCTGAATAGTATTATATTTGTGTGTGTGTGTGTGTGTGTGTGTGTGTGTGTGTGACATTTTCTTCATTCAATCAGCTGTTGAACAGTTAGGTTGATTCTATGTCTTCTATAGTTGCAATGAACATGATGTCTCAAGTTAATTGACAGCATCACAGCATAGCAGAAAGATTCTAACAGCTTCATGTGGTGTTTTAAAATTCATCCCAACTATAGGTTGACTGACCTACAGTTTGGACAGACTGCCAAAGTCCAAAAAGCCTCCACATTTACTTATTGTAGAGATCTACTTCCATTACGAGAAAAGCTTGAGACTGTAACATCTGACCCACTCTCCACCAAAATGGGAAGGTGCAAAGTGACCAAAGAACTTCTTTGACAGGTCCAACTTGGTGAGAAGATGAGGTTATTAGGACTTGCATACAGGGTGCTCCTGGGCAGCAGCAGGACAGCTCTAGAGTTCCACTCTGCCTTCTGTCTCTGTACTGCTTTAAGCAAATTTTCTGGCTCTTTGCCTGTTGTGTTTGAGTGATGAGACTGTTTTCCTTGGTAAGTTCTCAGATACTCTTGGGATGTTTGGATTCTCAGGGACACCTACTCCTTGGCTAGGCCCCATGGCCTTATCTTACTGCCCAGCCTTAAGGGTTCACGCAGTGGACATACACCCTTAAGTAGCTTAGTGGGGGACCCATAACACTACAATCCATCTCATCTCCTAGCTCTTACATTCTCTCTGCCAATCTTGCATGAGAATCTCTGAGCGAGGTACAAGGGAAAAAACTACATGAGCTTATAATGTATAGTCATGGCTTGTGTGTACAGGCCACTTCTACAGTATATGTAACAGCATAAAAAGCAGAAGTTAACTACAATTATAATGCTTATTGGTAAAACATAACTCCAATGAGTAGGCAAGGTGTGTAACCAATCTGAGAATGAGTCAAATTGGGCTATATCATGGTAATTGGGCTATATCATGGATCTGAATTGACGAATGATTTAAAGTATCTGTGACATTACTCTTTCTATCAGGGATATAGGTACAACAGATAGCGCCTATAAAGGCACATGTTGTTGGGTCTCCGCTGTGTTGGTGATTAGGCCTCTGGGTGGAAGCAATCTCCAGTAATCATAGGTTGCCTTATCGGTGCTATTGAACCAGTCACTCCAGTTCTGTTGGAAGAAAGGCAAAATATTCCAAGGTATACCACTACTACGTGACAGCAGAAAGTATCCACATACGCAAGCATCTGATTGGTTGCTGACTGCTGCTGTTATTGCAGCCCAGTTCAGGAAGACATTGCCAGCTGTCAAGGGTAGCAGGAACACCAGTCCATGGGCATAAGCCCAGGTGTCTAGTAGGAACTCTCATGGGTGCATCCACTTCTTGTAACATTATTATTGCTGTATTTTCTCCCATTGGCCTTATTAGGGAGGCTGCCATGGGCTTCACACCTGGTATACAGTACCACACATGGCTTCCCTCTCCAGGAGCAGGCATAATAGCCCATTGGTAAGTTTCCGGCCTTGCTCATGCTATCTGCAGTATGACTGCTCCAGCAGGTATTGGTGCTGCTATGTGTCGATATGGCAAGCCTCTCAGACCTTCATCCAGGAGCACAACTGGGTCCACCTCCCTTCTGGCAGTCTTCATGGCGCCCTCTGGTGACATAAAACTGACCCACTATGGGGGTACTTTCCAGCTCAACTTTAGGTCCATGTAGCCATCGCCATTTGGCAGATCCTCTCATGCTCTCAGGAGCACAGTCTGGCCACCAGCTTCAGGAACATGGCTCAGAGTCTCAGAAGCAACCATGAGAGTTGATGGGGCCTGCTTTACAAAAAGTGATACCATCTGATAGTCAGTGACATTTAAAATTTGTACACCTTCAGGACCTTAAAGAACCATCCTGAGACAATGCATGTAATTGTGTTTTTTTTAACAGGTCCTTTTATTTTATTTATTTATTTATTTACTTACTTTTAACTATGAGGCCTGTCCCTGTTGGGTCGTATGGTAAGTGGAACCTCCAATCTATGTTTTGTCCTGATGTCCAGTGTTGGGCATCATGGTCCATGAAATGGGGTACTTGATTACCGTCTATCCTTCTTGGCATGCCATACATGACACTAACAGTGGTGAGACACTTGATCATTTCCAGTTGAGGGACATGTTTTACTGGGAAGGACTGTAGTACCTATGTTGTTGTGTCCACACAGGTTAAGACATACCTTTTCCCTCCATGCTGGGTCAGGGGACCAATAATTGACTTGCCAGTTCCACACAGGTTGTATGGCTCCATGTTTGTGACCTAGTGTGAAGGGAACATTTCTAGGTTGCAGCCATGAACAGGTCTCACAGTTCTGAACAGCTGGAAAAACATTTGAATTGCAGATAGAATGGCTGCTGTTTTTGCTATGGCTCACCTATGGCTACCCCACAGTGGCCACTCTTATGATGTTCCCTTAGAACAGCCTCTTCCAATGGGTTCAGGGCAAATTGCCCAAACATGAGTAAGGGTGTCTACCTCTTAATTTCCAGAAGGGGACTTTAAGGCTATGTGCCTCTGTATGTACCCCAACTGTCTTTGCAAATGACTGGTGGCCAGAGCTCATGCGTAATGAGTATCCAGATTGCCCATAGCTTGTCCCATTGACTGTTTGGTCCTAATCCCCATTCTATCCACATGATGTTAGTATCCATTTGCACAATGACTGCTGACCATTGGTATTGAGTGCCTTTGCTAGACCCATCAGTGTACCAGGCCCTAGAAGGTATCCCTAAGGTTCCCTCATATATGGTGGCTCCACTCCCATGTCGAACTCCTCCACTTGATCAAAGTGGATGGGTCCAAGCACCTCCTGTATTGCCTGGCTTAAAGGACTAGTGGACAGGACACGCCTTTGTTGTAGATAGGCATGCCATTTCTACAGGGTGTGTGATTGTACTACTCTGAGGATGGGCTTGTCTAGGAGATATTCTATTCATCCTTTTATGGAATAGGCAGTTTTTACTATGATGGCCTGCTTTCTGGTGATGGCCTCCAATTGTTCCAATGCCCTATATTCATGCTAAATAGCTGTTGTTCTATGACTGTATAGCAGGATCCTGTCCCCTTCCATAATTGAGACAAAAATCCTACAGATACCATTCCCTTTGGTTGCTTTTGCCATAATCTTCAATTCATCATTGTGATATCTCCAGTGACTTATAATACAAAGGAATGCTAGAATGGGCTCCTCGTACTTGGGCTTGTTTCACTAATGTTTTTGCTTTGCCAAATGCTCTTATTCGATATGTGCCTCATCCCATTTTTTACCTGCCTTTGTTAGGATATGTAATGGGCTGAGGGTTTGTGCAAAATGAGGAATGAATATCCTTCAATAGCCTAGTAAACCTAGGAAAACTTGGAGTTGCTTTACTGACTGGGGAATAGGTTGCTGTGCTATGTTATCGATGACAGCTCTGAGTAGGTTTCATGTCTTCCCCAACTAGGTAACTTAGAAGTTTGACAGCTGCACCAGGCCCCTCTGTCTTTTTGGGGTTGACTTTCCATTCTCTGTCCCTTAGGCCATCCAAGATGGTTTCTAAGGCAGTCTCCAGATCTGTAAGAAACTCTAGGGTTAGTATGTTATCATTAATATAGTAAAACAGGGAGACTGAGTCAGGCAAAGTCTAGACAGGTCCTGTGCACCCAAACTGTGACAGATGGTGGAGCTGTGCAGCTATCTTTATGGTAGCACCTGGAAAGTCGATTGTTGGCCCTCCTAAGTGAAGGCAAACTGGTCTTGTGAATCTTCAGCTAAAGGAATACTGGAAAAGGCATTAGCCAAGCCAGTCACAGCATGAATATTTCACAGATTAAGGACCACTTGATTTAGCAGTTCAGCAATATTGGGTACAGCTGCGTGTACAGGGGCACCACTTTATTTAGCTCACAGTAGTCGCTCATCATTCTCCAGGTGTCAGTTGGCTTCTTCACAGGCCACAAAGGGCTATTATAGGGGCTCTTTGCCAACCTGACTATTTGTACCTTATGTAATTTCTCGATTGGCTGGGTGGTTTGAGAGTGCATTCACCCATTCTCACATTGCTATAAAGAACTACCTGAGAGTGGGTCATTTATAAAGAAGAGGTTTAATTGGCTCATGGTTCCACAGGCTGTCGGAGAAGCATGGCTGGGGAGGCCTCAGAAAACTTACAATTATGGTGGAAGCCAAAGGGAAAGCAGGCACAATCTTCACATGGCGGAACAGGAGAGACAGAGCGAAGGGGGAAGTGCCATGCACTTTAAAACCATCTTACCTCCTAAAACTCACTATCACAAGAACAGCAAGGAGGAAATCTGCCCACATGATCCAATGACTTCCCACCAGGTTCCTCCCCCAACACTGGGAACTACAATTCAACGTGAGATTTGGGTGGGGAAACAGAGGCAAACCATATTACAGAGTGTCCCCTAACAGAGAGTATTGTCTCATGTTTATTACCTGCCTGGGCTGGGGCAAGGGTACAGGCACCCATTTGACACATCTTCTTTTCATTCCTTGGTTACTTTCTGGACTTGGTCCTTGTTTTTATCCAGCTCACTGATGTCCACCAATGTTTCCCCCATATCATAGATTATATTTCCCATTAAGAGGCTCAGAACTGCGACCAATGCCCCATATCATAACCCTTCTTAAAGTGGAAATGACCCAGACATTCGATCAGTACCTAAAATAATTTTAAGATTTTTAAAATACACAAAAGTTTTACCTACAAGTATTTATATCATTTACGTTTTCTTTATTTATTTTTAGCAGTTTATCTGGTTTACTCATGAGTGCCAAGACATTAGATAAAGCTTACCATCATTCCAACTTTATCTTTTTTTAACCATTTTCATAGCCTGAGAATATCAGATGTTAACCTAAGCAAGAACCTTAATGTTGAGCACATTGGCATTTTTGCTGATAACTCAGAAAATTCAGCTGTTTTCATTAAATTAACAATATCAAATTGGTCTTGTCTATCAAAAAATCACACAAAGATTCCTCTGTTTTTGGCTCATCTTATGGTCTTAAAACCTTCAGGTAAAACCCTGACACCTTAAAATATCTAGCAGAGGCAAATCTAAAACTTGTCTAATTAGCAAACCTAGACAAAAATGTAGACTGACAATGCTGGCAGTATTTCTATTTTTATTTTACCAATAATTTTTGATCCAGTTTATGTACTAAAAATTACTAAATTAATATGAACCTGAAAATCATTTGAAATTATTTAATTTATAACTATTCATTTATTTATAAACTAATTTCATACCATGCTAGACACTCCATAACATTATACATGTGCATACACATAAACACATTTAAACATGTATATGCACACAGAAGCAAAGATCCCATAGGTTTTGCCTCAGAACTCTAGCCATGAGACGACATTACAAACTCATTATTTTACAAAAGATAAATGCATCTAAGTAATTTCTTACAAAATTTAGTCCTGTTCACATGACTAAACTTTGTTTTCCCTGATAGGTAATCCAATGAAGGCTGTGGATCAAAATTTGGCCTAAGCAGTTTCCACTGCAATTTAATTATTTACAAAACCTCTTTTTACTTTTTTGTCTTCAGGTCCAAATGAGTTATCAATGTTTACATTGTAGTTAGAACTGACTGAACTGTATAACAGAAACAAAATCTCCAAGTAACCTTTGGTAGTTCTATTTTTAACAAAAAATCTTTGCCTAAGTCAATGTTAGGAAGCTTTTTCCCTATGTTTTCATCTAGTTATTTTACAGTTTCAGGACTTACCTTTAGACCTTTAATCTTTTTGAGTTGATTTTTCTATTTGTTGTCATTTTTTTTTTTTTTTTTTTGCTGAGAGTGTTCCGTGGTATGAATGTACCATGGCTTCTTTATAGATTCACCCATTGAAGGACTTTTGGGTTATTTCCACTTTTTGGCTATTACAAAAAGTAGTGCTGTGCACATTTATATCCAGGTTTTTGTGTGTATACAAATTTTCAGTTTCCTTTGATAAAAGCCTAAGAATGCAATCGTTTGGTCATATGGTAAGTACATGTTTAGTTGTGTAAGAAACGACCACTATCTTTACTATAGTGGCTATACCCTTTTAACACCCACCAGCCAATCAATGTATGAGTGATTCAGTTTCTTCACATTCTTGCCAGTATTTGCATGACTATATTTTTACATTAGTCATTCCAGTAGGTGTGTAGTAATATCTCATTGTGATTTTAGTATGTATTTCCCCTGATGGCTAATAATTTTAAATGTGTTTTCATGTATATTTTTGACACTTATATATCCTCTTCAGTAAATTGTCTGTTCATGTCCTCTGCCTATATTATAATTGGATTGTAGATTTTTATACTGATGAGTTTTAAGAGTCCTTTATACATTCTAGATACTAGTAGACCTTTGTTGAATATAGGGTTTGTAACTGTAGCTTGTCTTTTTACCCTTTTCATAGATTCTTTCACAGAACAAAGGTTTATAATTTTGATGGGGTTTTATTTATCAATTTTCTTTTTATGGATCTTGTTTGCAATGTTAAGTCTAAGAATTACTGGCCTAGTCCTAGATCTCAAAGATTTTCTTCTATGTTTTATTTTCCTAAACTTTTACATTTTACATATAATTTTGTGATAGATTTTGAGTGACTTTGTGTATAAGAAGTAAGGATTAGGTCAAAATCTTTTTTTTCCTATAAATGTCCAATTTCTTCAACAGCATTTGTTGAAAAACCTATCTTTCTTCCATTTAATTGCTTTTGCAGTTTTGTCAAAATTGAGCAAATTTTGGTCTATTTCTTTGTTCTCTATTCCATTCTATTGACCAATGTGTCTAACCATCCAGCAATACTATGCTGTCTTACTTGTACTAGCTATATAATAAGTCAATATTGGATTAAGAGATTCCTCCAACTGTATTCTTTTCCAAATTCTTTTTTTTTTTTTTTCAGAGGCAGGGTCTCACCATCTTGCCCAGGATGGCCTTGAACTCCTGGGCTCAAGTGACCCTCCCATCTTGGCCTTCCAAAGTGCTGGGACTACACACATAAGCCATTGTCCTTGGTCTCAAAAAAAAATTTAAGGTATTTCATTACTTATGCCTTTCCATATACATTTTTAAATAATCATCTCTCTCTCTCTCTCTCTCTCTCTATATATATATATATATATATATAGATATATATATATATCTATATATATCTATATCTTCTAGTACTACATCAAATAAGAGATGAGAGTACACATTGTTTCTTTGTTCCTGATATTAGAGAAACAATAGTCAATCTTTCACCGTTAAGTATGATGTTAGCCGCAGGTTTTTTGTAGATGAGCTTTATCAAGTTGAGAATTTTTTCTGTTTTTAGTTTTCTGAGATTTTTTCATGAATAAGTGTTAGATATAGTCAACTGATTTTTGCATCGATTGATATCATTATATCAATTATATCATTTCATCAATATCAATTATATCATTTATATGGTAGATTGCATTGATTGATTTTCTAATATGATCTAGCCTTGCATAGATGGAATAAACCATACTTGTCATGATGTAATATTATTTTTATATTTTGTTGGATGCTATTTGCTAATATTTTTTGAGGGTTTTTGTATCTAAGTTCAGGAGAGATATTAGTTTTAATATTTTTTGTGTTCTCTTTGCATAGTTTTGATAACAGGGACTAGATTCATAGAATAAGTTGGAAAGTGTTCTCAAATAGTCTATTTTTTGAAAGAGATTATGTAGAACTGGTATTAAATTTTTAAGTGGTTGGTAAAATTTTTAGTGATCCTCTCTGGGCTTGGAGATTTCTTTTACAGAATCATTTTGGTTGTGTATTCAATTTCTCTAATGATTATAAAAGTATTTAGATTATCTATTTCACCTTAGTTGAATTTTATTAGTTTGTGAGTGGTCCATTTCTTCTAAGTTTTCAAATGTATGAGTGTAAATTGTTCATAGTATTCTCTTATTATCACTGTAATACCTTTAGTGATGACCCTCATTTTATTTTTGATATTAGTGAGTTGTGTCTTCTCTCTTTTGAATTTTGTCAGGCTTAATAAACATTTGTCAGCTGAACTGGTTTCTTGAAGAATCAGCTTTTTCTTTCAGTGACTTTCTCTATTGTTTTCCTATTTTTAATAACCTTGATACATTTTCCTCTTCATTATTTATTTCTTTATTTGAGTCTGTTATGTTCTTTTTCTAGTTCTTGAAGTAGAACCAGATTAGAACTTAGATTCTGTATGTTTGAGATCTTTCCTCTTTTGTAGTGTAAGCACTTAATGCTATCAGTATCACTCTTCACACTGCTTTATCTGTGTCCCACATATTTTGTAGTGTTGTGTTTTCATTTTTGTTCAGTTTCTGGTATTTTTTAAAAATTACCTTTGAGACTTCCTCTTTGATCCATGGATTTATTTAAGGGTGTTGCTTAATTTCTACATATTTAGGAATGATTTTCCTGTTATCATTTTGTTACAGGTTTTTAATTTGATTCTATTGTGAACAGAGTACATATTATGTACAATTTTATTTTTTTAATGTGTTGAGGTTTATTCTATGACCCAAGATATTGTCCATCTTAGTGAATGTTCCATGATCTGTTTTCTATATATGTCAATTATATCCTGTTGGTAAGTTATATTTTTATAAATTAGTTTTCTGTCACTTCATCTTATTGATCTGTTTTCTCTTTGTCATCAATTTCTAGATGATATTTTAGCTATTTTAAAGTGAATTATATCTTTATTTTTAAGGAACTGAGATTAAAAAATAAAGCCACAAATCAATTCATCATAATCAGTAAATTCATTCTAATTTTGTTTCATTTCATTGCTGCAAATATTAAAATGTTTCAAGGAAGTATTCATATATTTCAATATTGAAACTTTTTATTCCAGATATGTGTATTTACCTTTTTTGAAGCCTTGTTTCAAAATCTTCTTTAAATTTAAGTTGGTTATTTTATATGGTACCTGACCAAGTCTTTATAAATATATTATTAATAGATGTTTCATATGTTTCCTCTCTATTGTGGATACATCCTAAATCTGCCTGACTTTTTAAAACCTTTAATGTTTTTATGTAGGCAAAGTCCTAAATTTTCTGCTTTCTTCCCTCTCTCCAATATAGTGGGATATGTTATGTGTTCTCATAATTTTTTTTGTAAGGGTAACTGACTTGGATTGTCCACACCATTGAACTGCAAAAATAAAATTAAAACTTTGTATCTTTTCTCTCTCATGTCTCCTTTTAGATTATGAAAGTGTTTTTGCAGTTACTCCTTCATTCAGTCTTAATGGCATAAAGATATTAATGGTTTATTATGCCATTTAGAGAAGATTTTGTATGTCGAGTATTTTGGTTTTGTCCATTGTTGTACCAGTTCTCAATAATTGAATAGTTTTGTTCAACAATCCCTCCAATCTCACCCACTCTTACATTAACTATGCTGAGAATGCCCTCACTGTGTTGCATATCCTTCTGCATAACGATCTTGCTTGAATAAATGCATATTGACCTCTTTGTTACTTATAGGGAATGGTTTCAATGCCAAAAATGGCATCATGATATATAGAGTTTCTAAAATTGGCCTTACTCACATAAAACTGTGCAGCAAAGATCTTCCAGACTTTTAAGGTTTTATATTTTAAAATTTGAGCTTTCTTTTTTTTTTTTTTTTTTTTTTTTTGAGACGGAGTCTCGCTCTGTCGCCCAGGCTAGAGTGCAGTGGCACGATCTCTGCTCACTGCAAGCTCCGCCTCCCGGGTTCACGCCATTCACCTGCCTCAGCCTCCCAAGTAGCTGGGACTACAGGCGCCTGCCACCACGCCCGGCTAATTTTTTGTATTTTTAGTAGAGACGGGGTTTCACCGTTTTAGCCGGGATGGTCTCGATCTTCTGACCTCGTGATCCGCCCGCCTCGGCCTCCCAAAGTGCTGGGATTACAGGCGTGAGCCACCGTGCCCAGCCAGAGCTTTCAACTCATATGAAATGCATATGGGTAAACAGCATGAAGTAAATACGCAAGATATTTCTTGCATGTAGAAGTTATCCAACATAGAAAGCTTTCTGCCTGTATTTAATCCAATTCCACATTGTTTTTAAATGTGTGGCTTTCAAATTTCATTTATTAAATGGTGAGTATTCTTGATTATTACTATTTTTGAAGAATCTTTTAAATATCCAAAGTAATTTCTTTCATATAAGAAATGATATGAAATTCTTTTATATAAGAAATAATTGATAATTCAAATTAAATTATCAAATTCCCTCAAGAACTTCAATTTGGATTTTAAATGTAATTTCCTTACTTTTGCAGCTATGTGTATCTTTATCCTAGTTGAGCATCACTGGTAACATTTAATTTTTCTTTTGTATCCCTCAGGATATAAACATTTCTTAACCAAGAAAGCAAGGTCAAGAAAAATCTTTATAGTATGATTTCTAGGTATTTTTCAGATTTTTTTCTGTTTTGAATATATTCATTTACCATTATGTTTTATTGCCAAAGATCACTTGTGAAGTTACTGATTTTTACATAGTTTGTTTCTGTTAGCCTATCTTATTGAACCGTTCTATAGGTTCTCATAGATCGGAAATTCCTAAATTTTCTGGATAATAATATAATTTATGTTTACTGCCTAATGAATTGAAAGCAATAAAAAGATTCTATTGTCATAATCAGCCAGCAATTTAATTAGCTGAGGGGGAAAGGCTGACAGCCACCCTTGAGTTTGGTTCTGTGCTTCTTTGCCCTCGATTGCTTCCCTCTTTGTTTTAAGTCTTTCTCTTTCCATCTCTGCACTGGAAACTGGTTGCTTAAGGAATCACGTTGAAGGCACTATGTTGTTAATTCAACCAGAGTGATTATGCTGTCAAAGAATTTCAAATTCAGTAATGACGTCTGGGGATAAAGAATGCTATTTAATACTGGAATGTGAGACCTAGCTAACAAGCAGTTATTAGGGTGGTATATTCTAAGTAGGAATTCACCATTCCATCTATCATGTTAGACATAATGTGAAATGCCATGATGATAAACTTCATCTGTTTATGTCATTTTATACTGTGCAAAAGTGTTTTCACATATGTTGTCCCTTTTGAGTTTCATGAGAAATCTTTAAGAGAGAAATATATAACCTATTTCATGAGGTAATCATAAGGATTTTTGTGAGAAAGTCTGGTAGTCCACACCAAGTTACACAACAATGAATAAACACTCATTAAATATTCCATTAGTATTGTAATCATCTTGATTATCAATACTAAATGCGTGAAACTGGCCAAGTGCAATGGCTCATGCCTGTAATCCCAACACTTTAGGAGGCTGAGGTGGGAGGATTGCTTGAGGTCAGAAGGCCAGGACCAGCCTAAGAAACATAGCAAGACTCAAGAAGACGTTTATGCAGCCAACAGATACATGAAAAAATGCTCATCATCACTGGCCATCAGAGAAATGCAAATCAAAACCACAATGAGATACCATCTCATACCAGTTAGAATGGCGATCATTAAAAAGTCTGGAAACAACAGGTGCTGGAGAAGACGTGGAGAAATAGGAACACTTTTACACTGTTGGTGGGACTGTAAACTAGTTCAACCATTGTGGAAGACAGTGTGGCAATTCCTCAAGGATCTAAAACTAGAAATACTATTTGACCCAGCCATCCCATTACTGGGTATATACCCAAAGGATTATAAATCATGCTGCTATAAAGACACATGCACACCTATGTTTATTGCGGCACTATTCACAATAGTGAAGTCTTGGAACCAACCCAAATGTCCATCAATGATAGACTGGATTAAGAAAATGTGGCACATATACACCATGGAATACTATGCAGCCATAAAAAGGATGAGTTCATGTCCTTTTTAGGGACATGGATGAAGCTGGAAACCATCATTCTCAGCAAACTATTGCAAGGACAGAAAACCAAACACCACATGTTCTCACTCACAGGTGGGAATTGAACAATGAGAACACTTGGACACAGGAAGGGGAACATCACACACCGGGGCCTGTTGTGGGGTGGGGGGAGGGGGGAGGGATAGCATTAGGAGATATACCTAATGCTAGATGACGAGTTAAGGGGTGCAGCACACCAACATGGCACATGTATACATATGTAACAAACCTGCACATTGTGCACATGTACCCTAGAACTTAAAGTATAATAATAATAAAAAGAAACATAGCAAGACTCCATCTCTACACAAAATAAAAATAAATTAGCAGAATGTGGTGCTGCGTGCCTATAGTCCCAGCTACTTGGGAGGTGGCGGTGGGAGGTTCACTTGAGCTCAGGATTTCGAGTGTGCAGTGAGCTAAAATCACACCACTGCACTCTAGTCTGGGTAACAGAGACCCTGTCTCTAAACATTAAATAAGTAAATAAATAATAGTAAAGACATGAAATTGTTATCGCTTTAAATTATTTGTACAGATGTATTTTAACATCAGTTTCTCACATCCCTCGTATTTAATATAATTACCTTGTACATGGCACTCATTCTTCTAAGTTAGGTTCATGTATGTGTACACAATTATTTAAATCACTTATAAAAATTCCTACATAATAATCTGTCATTTCTTTTACATATATTCTGGAAACTTATTGATATATCTGTTCATAACCATATAAATCTTGTTTCTGTTGCCAAGATATTCTTGGTTTGGTCAACTTAAAAAATCTATATCAAAATTACATGTTTTTCAAAAAACTAATTCCACAAGGCTTGTAATAAACATTACAGTATCATTTTGAACCACTCTCTCTAACCCTGATCCTTCTTCTCTAGATGAAGCCACTTTTCCATTGTTTCTTTGGGAATTTGTATCCATGTTTTAGAAAAATATGCTTATACTATTACTTATTGATTTTTAAGTTCTAAACGGCCACTATTGGCTTTTGCTACTATGGAAGAAGATAAGTTTCTCTCTCTCTTTCTCTCTCTCTCTCTGTTTCTCTCTCTTTCTCTTTCTCTCTCTTCCTCTCTCTCCCCCCTCTCTCTCTCACACACACACACGCACACACACACACAGCACCACCATCACCACAAAAACAACCCTCACTACATGTCCTTTTTCTCATCTCATCCAGCCAATATAACATGTTTATATATCATCAAGCCAATATATCATCCAGCCAATATAATATGTTTTTGTTAGGACAATAGTGAGTGGTTAATCTATTAGAGAAATGCAAACATTGTTCAAATCGAAACCGAGTAATATACTTTGATTATATTTCCTTTTTTATAGGGCTTGTGCTTGTTTTCTCCCTCGCAGTTAACAACTGTCTTGTTATAGTTTTGTATGTATCTATCACTAATTTATCCCATACTCTCAACAGAGACATAAATCTCCTCACAATACTTTCAGAAATATCGATCCATCTTTCATTTGAAACTTGTTCTGGGAAACATCACTTCTGGAGTTCTTTGTCACCGTACTCTAACCTCGTATGCTGCTCTCCGGGCTTATTGCCCATGGGAGAATATGAGCGTGTGTGGTTTATGGTGTCCTAACTGCTTCCTGTGTGGACATTTAGCAAATATTCTTGTGTTTCGCCCTACCTTCACCTTCATTGTCACAAGTACCTGATATTTCCAATTCCTTGGGAATTTTTATATTTAAGGCCTTCCAAACCAACCTGCTTCTGGGATTCCCCATTGCTAGGTTTGCACAGGGCTTTCTCTCTCTGCTCAATCATTTCCTGGTCACTTATCAACATTTCTACGTCCAAAATATTATTCCTAAGCCTTCTCTTCCTTTATCTTGCAAGTATATGCTTTTAAAACTTCTCATTGTTGCCTTTTGTTCCAATTAAGTAGGGAATTATGACAAAGGGGTGTGATCTATCTAATGTGTATAACCTGAAGAATTTTCTTTTATATTTTAAATATATTTAAAAGAAGAATATATTTTATATTTTAAAATATAAAACCTTAAAAGTCTGGAAGTATTGTTTATTCAAGAGAGTCGTTGATGTTACATAGAGAAGTCATCACTTATTTTTTCCGTCTTTTTCTGTCTGCCCTGTCTGCTGAAGAAACTAAAATAGTATATGTTCTGGTTGATTTTCTTATTTTAGAATGTGTATCCGTATTTATATCTATATATAAAACCATTTCAAAATGATTAGGCTAGGGATAAAATAGCATTGTAAACAGTAAGTACTATAACATGCCTATGAAGAAGACGACAGTATTTTTGAGAATACATACCCCTGATAACAACTCAACCCTTATCTTTTATACCTGAGACACTCATTCTTTTTTCTAGAGTCTGGTCTTTCAGGTCAACTATTGACAAGAGAGTTTGCTGCCTGATCCTGCTCAGTTATCCATGCAGTCACTTGAAACGCATATATTTATTGTTTTATGTATAATAAAAATTGATAGTATTTATTGCACTTCAGATTCAGAGAATTAGAATAGTCCTAATTCTTTGTGTATGACATGCTCTCAATATCAGTCCATGGCTGCTTTTATTTAATTATTTAGTTAGTTGTTTTAAATAATTAAGACATACTCACAAGCCTATAACTGAAGACAAAATCTAGGAAAGCAAGAGTAATAATAATAATAATATAATTACATATAAGCAATCTTCTGCTTTTATTTAATTATTTAATTAGTTGTTTTAAATAATTAAGAAACACTCACAAGACTATCACTGAAAACAAAATCTAGGACATCAATAAAAACACTCAAAAGCCTATCACTAAAACCAAAAGCTAGGACAGCAATAGTAATAATAATAATAACACAATAATAATAATTATTATTATATATAAGCAGTCTTATATATATTCCCTATTGTCCATGTATAAAGAGTTTTTCTTGTTTTTTCTTATGAGGGAAATCAACGGGCCATATTTTATACAAGAGTTCAGCTTTAGGAGATTATGTTAAACCATTTCCCAAACTAACTCCACTGGGTTACACCGCCACCAAGCAGTGGGTAAAATGTTGTGCATTCACATCTTGGCCAACACTAGGTGTCATCAGTCTTTTATATTTGTGGCAATAAGATAGAGTTAGACTGTAACCTATCTTGATATGCTCTTAGTGGTCTTGATTTGCGTTTCTCTGATCACTAATGATGTGGAATATCTCTTCATAATTTTCTTGTTATTAATATTAAGTGTATTAGTTTGTTCTCACACTGCTATAAAGAACTACCTGAGACTGGGTAACTTTTGAAGAAAAAAGGTTTAATTGAGTCACAGTTGCACATGCTGGACAGGAGCCATAACTGGAGAGGCCTCGGGAAACTTACAATCATTGTGGAAGACAAAGGGGAAGCAAACACATATTCACATGGCCAGGAGGAGACAGAGAGAGTAAAGGGGGGAAGTGCTACACACTTTGAAACAACCAGATCTCATGAGAACTCACCCATTATCATGAGAACAGCAAGGGGGAAATCTACCTCCATAATCCAATCACTTCCCACCAGGCCCCTCCCACAACATTGGAGATTAGAATTCAACATGAGATTTGGCTAGGAACACAAAGACAAATCATATCACTAAGAGCAAATATTTCACATTAAACATATATTTACTGTAGCTTTTTGGCAGATATATTTATAAGTCAGTTTTCTTCTATTTCTAGCTTTTAAGAGTATTATTAGGAATGAATCTTTAATTTGATTAGGTGTCTTTATTGTGAGAATTCTGTTCTAATTTCCTACCTTGCCTGGGCTTACAGCCATGTTCCTGTCCTGCTTGCTATTGTAAAAACTCAAGACTTTAGGTTAGTGAGTCTAGCATGGGCCCTCCCATCACCCACTGTTCATTTCCATTTACCCTCTGGTAATTTCTCCTTTATGAATTTCTATCCCTACTTTATTATGAGCTCAGCTCTACATTGAAAAAAGTTTTATTTTATCTCATATTTCTAAGTTTATCAGAGATGGGTAGCTGTTTTAGGTCATCTACACCACTGATTCTCAAACTTTAATGTTGATAGAAATCACCTGGAGATCTCGTTTAAAATTCAGATTATTATTAAGCATATCTGGAATAGAACCAAAGATTCTAGATTTCTAACAAGTTCTCAGGGGATACCTCTGCTGCTAATCCCTGAACCACACTTTGAGTAGCAAGTGCCTACCTTGACCATTATAGTGCTGGAAACAAGATTCCAAAATCATTTTTCAGCTTTGGACTCTAAAGAAAACAGTTTATAGGGATTTTTCAGCCAAATTCATCCAGGGTTGCCCTGGAAGCAACATGAAACCCAAAATTCACTGAACAAATTCTGGTATAAAAATTGCAGTTTACAAGTTAGAGCTTAATTTTAACAAATAAGAGGGTTTATTCAAAGCTCTTACCTCCTGGAGTTTTGACCGGTAGTTTTCAAATAGGAAGCTAACGTGTTGTAAGTAAACGTGTATTGGGCATGAGATTGAATTTTTGATATGTAAATGACCTACAGTGCTCTGATGTTACAATTTGCTGAAATATGGTGATACGTATTGGCTAATCTGAGCCCCATAACAAATATGGGAGGCAGAGGTAATAACACCCTCTCTCTGCAAAGGGTTTTGTGTGAGGGTTGGATGGGATGATGCTCATAAAAGCATTTAGTCACTGTTTGAAATGGAAGCAATCAATCAGGAAAGGTTATTTTTTGTTTCTCTTTCTTTTTTTGTTATTACTTTCACTATGTCCATGTGTTCCTTTTTTTCCGATCATAAAACTTGAACCTTGCCAGAGGCTAAGTGACATGTATGATGTGACATGTATGATCTTAATCTCAGGCCAAGAGTGGCCTAGATTTGCTTTTCTTATCAAATTGTTTTCTCTACAACGTTTTATGACAGAAGCGATGCTCCCTCATCCTAATTATCCAAATAGTGCAAAAGTAGATAAAGAATAATTGTACAATCTCCCCCTATATTGCTTCATTCTCATTTCCTTGACAGGATTCTCAAAAATGCTGACAGCATTTACATAAACATCTGTGTGTTTTTTTTGGGGGGGGGGGGCTCAAGCAAATATTTATCAACACACATATATTTAAGTCAAGATCATTTCCTGGGTTGTTGCTTTTTATAAACAATGAGATCTACAAAAATAGATTGTTTTACGACTTCCCGTCAGCACATTGCAATACATCATGGGCATCTTATAGGTCAGTAGATTTCCTTCGTTTTTTTTTGTTGTTGTTGTTGTTAATATTCTCCTGTAATTCCCATGAATGATATTTTGTTGTATGCTGTGAAGTTAGGGTTACATTTTTTTAAATGTGCAAATCTCTAATTTTTCCTGGTTCACAATTTCATTTCAGTGAAATTTCTGTCAATTTTGGAGCCAATACCAGGTTTAAAAAAATAATACATAATTACAGTGTCATTTAGAATCTGACATGACAAATGCTCCTTATGGATTTCCTATTGTACTATATTTCTTTAATAATGAAACCTTTTTATTTTTAAGAAAAATGCAACAACATTTATCAAGGTGAGGAAGTTCTTTTCTATTGTTAGTCTGCTGGGAGTTTTTATCATGAATAAGTATTGGATTTTGCTAATTGCTTTTATTGATACGATCTTAGGATTTTTCTTCTTTAGCTGTTGATGTGATAGAGTAATTAATTGATTTTTGAACGTTCCTCTGTGGTTGTTTAGTTAGCACTCTTTACTTTCTCATGCCTTGCCATTTTGCTTCATCTGTTCCCTAAATAAAAATCTTGGATCACTAAAAAAAAAAAAAAAAAAAGTCACATTTGATGATTTGATGTGATATGCTATGGTTTGATTTGTTTCAAAGAAATCCAAAAATAGGATCACTGGAAGGGTAGTAGATGGAGTATAAAAGAAATATTTAATCATGAGTTGACTATCATTACAGCTGGATGGTGGGTAAACTATTAACTATTTTCACATGTGTTTGAAATTGTCCATATAAAAAAATTAAAACGTAGATTCGGCTTCTGTGTTCCACTTTTTAAAAAAAATGTCACTTTGGAGTTTCTAATGAGCAAAAATATAAATGAATTTGAGAAAAACTGACATCTTCACAATAACCAGTCTTCTAGAATGAAGGGAACACATGCCAATATTCAAGCCTTCTTTAATACCTTTCAGGAAATGATGGTAGAACAAGCACTTTATATATTTCTAGAATAACTTGACCATTTTATTCTAGATATTTTATCCTTATCCTTGTTGTCAATGGATTGTTTTTCAACTGATTAATACTAGTGTAGTGTAAAAAAACTAACAATTTTTACATACTTCTTTTTGCTGAATGCCCGTCTTACTTTTCCTATCTTAATACTTACCATGTACTTTTAGGTATGTAATCCTATTAACTGTGTTAATTATGGAACATTGAAAGCAAGGTTAAAAATAGAAGTATTAAGTATTGACCAGTGGCATGCGCTGCCAAATAGAACAAATCAAGTAGAGCATTTTTTTTTCTATGCCCCCTACTTGGCTTGTACCCGGCGATCTCATCTTTTAGACGTGGGACATCCAGCTGTACTATGGGATCTGGTCCCTTAGGTGGAAGGCGTAAAGAGAAAGGCTGAACCAGAGATGCAATAACAGCCACAGAAAACTCAAATTCATTACTGACCTTGGGATACGAAAATCATGATTTATGACTGGAGGCTGAGAAATGTGTGCAAACTTAGCCAGCAGGCAGATTTATTCATAGAATCAAAATCTGGTATGTAAGCTTCTATATTCTAAATAGGATGCCAATATCTTATCTATGAATGGGTTTTCTTGGGCATAGATTCAAAAGTCCTGATAATATAATCTCTTTCTGTTTGTTTCTAGAATTAAACTTTACAAAAAAATTTTTACTTACATTGCTTCATTTGATCCTCAAGATAAATCTCTTGAAAGAAGGGAAATCAAAGTATTTATTTGGTAGGATTGTAATGAAGCTCAATGAAATAAAGCACAGGAAATGGTTCAGCAAAATGTCTGATACATTAGTAAACACTCAGTATACATTGGTTATGGTTATTATTGTTATTATTACTAATATTTTGCCTTATCATATGCTTGCAAAAGGTGAGGAAACTTCAGATTTGAGAACGTTTAGTGATTTTTTCAAGACCCACACAATGTGAGCAGCCCAAATTAAAGAATTGTTTGTTGTTGTTTTTCTTTGTGTGTGTGTGTGTGTTTGAGATGGGGTCTCACTCTGTTGCCCAGGCTGGAGTGTAGTAGCATAATCACAGCTCACAACAGCCTTGACCTCCTGGGCTCAAGTGATCCTTCTACCTCAGTCTCCCAAGTAGCTGGGACTATGGGCATGCACCACCATGGCTGCCTTTTTGTTGTTGTTGTTAGAGATGGGCTTTCCCTATGTTGTTCAGTCTGGTCTCAAACTCCTGGGCTCAAGGGATCCTCCTGCCTTTGCCTCCCAAAATGTTGGTATTACAGGCATGAGCCACCACACCTGGTTGAAGTTATTTTTATTTAGATGTTTTCATCAGTATTTTAAAATATCAAAACAATATTTTGTCATGATAGATAGGGAAATAATGCAAAGATGAATTTTAAGAGTTTCTAATTTTCCTTTTTTCATTCTTATCTTCCTCCTAATCAGCAGCAAATGCCTGATGCATATTTTCTGTGCACAACCAAACATGTATAAGTGCACAAACACATATATGACAGAGTTGGTGGTTTTCATTTGTTTAAAACTTGAATTATTCTATTTACATTTTTTTCTGTGCTTTGCCCAATACGGATAGATGTATGTTGTCTGCCCTTTTCCTAATACAGACAGATATACCTTTCTCCATCAAAATTCATGGTTTATGATTTAATGTTTAATCCTTTAGTTAACATGGAAAGTATTTAGTACAATATGGAAAGTAACTGAAGAACTTGTGTATTTTCCACACATGTTCATGTTGGTTGGTATCATTCGAGTTGATAATTCTGTTCCATTTAATACTCATTCAATTTTTCGAGGCATATCCATGGTTTAAACTATCATGATTTCACTAAAATAATGCCATATTCTATGACATAGCCTTCTTGAAGCTTTTCTTTAAAACCCTCAACAATTTATTTATGCAGATGAATTTTAACATAATCTATTTGATTTCTCCCCTCCCCAAGGAATTTTAATGTAATTTATAATATTTAATCATCCCAGTAAAGATCATAATAATATATTCATTTATTTGGATTGCTTTTTATAGCCCTCATAAAATATTTATTGTATTAGTCCATTCTCACACTGCTATAAAGAACTGCCGGAGACTGGGTAATTTATGAAGAAAAGAGTTTTAATTGACTCACAGTTCTGCACGGCTGGGGAAGCTTCAGGAAACTTACGATCATGGCGGTAGGCAAAGGAGAAGCAAGTACCTTCCTCACAAGGTGGCAGGAGAGAGAGAGGGAGCAGGTGAAACTGCCACTGTTGAACCATCAGATCTCCTGAGAATTCTCTCACTCATGGGAACAGCATGGGGGAAACCACCTCCATGATCCAATCACCTCCCACCAGGTCTCTCCCCAACACCTGGGGATTACACTTTGATATGAGATTTGGGTGGGGACACTGAGCTACACCCTATCATTTGCATTTTTTTCATAGATTCTCCAAAATTATTCCTAACTTTTTCTCTGAGATATTATACATTTTGTTTCCATTATGAGTTGGTTCATTACCTAATAACCATTTTGAAATACATACTGCTAACCATTGGGAATTTTAATATTTCTATTTAGCTAGTAATGTGTTATCATTTGATTCCAGGTTTATGATAATTTACACGTTTAATAACTCATGAATGTAAACTGAAGTCCTGAAACACTCATTATTATCCCTGTGCACTTCACATGCCCATATATAAGAAATTATCCAATAGCCTTGCTCTTGGATACAAGTCTCTTAGCTATCCCTCAACATTTATTATTTCAATAAGAAATGTTTACCCTTATTTAATATCCAGGAAATCTGTGTCCTCATTTGCATGGTTAGATGGATTTTGATTTTGCTCTCTGCTGTTCCAGAGTTCCTTGGACAGCTTCCTGAAAACCAGCTCACTCTATGTATACATTTATAGACACCACAAATACACACACACACACACACACACATATATATATAGTGAAAGAGAGACTGAATTATTGATTGATTGATTTTTGAGGAATTGACTCATGATTGTTTGGGCTAACAAGGCCAAGTCTAAATTATTTAGAACAGGCTAGCAGGCCGGGCACTCAGGAAAGAGTTATTGCAGTCTTGAGTTCAAAATTTGCAGGACAGGACAGGCAAGCTACAAATTCAGGCAGGATTTCTCTATTGCAGTCTTGAAGTAGATTTGATTCTTCTTCAGGAAACTGAAGTCTTCGCTCTTAAGGCAGTCAAGTGATTGGATGAGGCCCACCCACATTATGGATAGTAATTGGCACTACTCAAAATCGACTCATTTAAATGTTAATCATATGTAAAATAATACCTCCACAGCAACATTTAGACTGGAGTTTGACCAAACAACCGGGCACCATATCCTAGCCAAGCTGACATGTCAAATTAAACATTATCCATAACAAGGAAGGATTTCCCAAGCCACCTAAACCATGGCAAGGCAGATGTAGAGGTGTTGAATAATAATTCAACATACTCGTAGTAAAGAACTGTGTTTTGTTACACATGGAGCAAAATTTTGTCATAATAAAAAGGATTATGTTTTTCAACCATTTTTCGGTCACCTAAGTGTTTTTCCTTTTGTTGACTTACTCGATCCTCGGGAAAATCTGTGATGCAGATGTAATCATATTCTTTGCACCAGGGTTTTTTTTGGTCACAATTTAATGGAATACTATACATGGAAGCAGCTAGCAAGCTGCTGAGCATGTAAATAGGCACACAGTGAAAGTTAATGTTTATCTCGTTTTCATTATTATTGATGCTAAGAGATTTTTTTCTATCTTCATACACAAAAAAATTTGAATGTGATGAATATTTAAGTGATGAGACAAAGTCCAAAACAACCAATCATTCTATATTTGCTTCAAATAAAAATTCTTAAATATTTTTATATACAAAAATAATACTTATACTAGATAGTTGAAAAAAAGGCAGATAGGTAAAGAAAATTTATTAATCTCCCCCTTCAAGGTGAATACAAAACTCACTAATGTTTTCTTATTAAAAAACTGCAACTTAGTAGTGTAGGTTAGTCTTACCATTAAGGAGTACTCAGAGTACTTAACTTCTGGCAGGTTTATAAGTATATATTTAAAAGAATTCACCATATTATAAATTATCCAAATACAAGCCAAATATAAAATTTTCTTTGTAATAGCATGTACCCTCCTTCTCTGAGTTTTTATATTTGCAAGAATTTTTACATGTATTATCTCATTTGATCAGCAGGAGTATAATCCATAATACATGCCTTGGGTTCATTCTTAAGATTAAATAAACTAATCCAGGTTTAGGCATTTAGAATATGGATACGATCATTCAGTAAACTCCATTCTTATTAGTCTTTTTTATTCTGAAAGCTCATATTTTTAACTCCTTCAGACACATAACAATATGATTGGTTTGGAAAATTTACATGAGGAGTTAAAGTCACAAAACGATAAAATGGCCTGTGTTTGCTCTAAATGTTTTTAAAACATATTTTCTTTACTTTTTAATTATAAATTACAATATTTGGTCATAAAAAGTAAAAAATGTATCCTCCTACAACTCCCCATTTCTGTTGCCCTAACTTAATGTTAAATGTACAAACAGCATACTTCCACAATTTTCTGTGCTAGAAAAAATGCATAATCAACCTGCCGACAATTAGAGAAGGGAGTGTGTGACTGTGGCTTGTTTCCGCGGAAGTGCTATTGTGCTATTTATTTGTGCTATTTATGCATAAGCTGCATTTCTCACCTAATTATACATAATAGTTCTGTCAATCTGTTTTTTCAGGGATTAATATTCTAAAATTATTACTCTGACAATGCAAAATGCAATTGTGAAGTGAAAATTTAATTTTTATAAATCTGCAAATGCTGAATTTTTCCAACATCGTTTGAGCCATCAGTTTATGTCTGTGGTTTGGAATAAATACTAAATTGCTTTATTATTATTTTGTCTTTAGTATCTATTATGAGAACTGTCCCTCATTGCTGTTTTTAATAGAGGTTGGCATTGCATATTGAAGTTCATGTACACTTCCAGATGAAGTTTAATATCAGTTTGTTTTGATGGTCCAAAAATACATCACATTGGTATTTAATTAACATAAATATATAAGTGAATTCGAGGAAATGTATCAACTCTTATGTAGTGAGTTATTTCTTTTTTCACAATTTATTTTCTTGTTTTGCATAGGTTCAATTTAAACCCTGCAAAAATTCTGTAAAGTGCTTTAAATTTTGATATGCTTCACATTTTAAATTCCTATCTCTTCAAGTCATTATATGACATGGAACTTAGGTCATGTCAAACCTTGGGAAATCAATCTATCAATCTTTGTAAAACTGGTTGTTCTCAAAGTTATAACTGCTAACTAAGCTTTATAATTTTGGATTTTCTCCCACTTCCTCCCTCTATCACTCTTTGATCCATATTCTATTTCATAAGTTATTAAAGCAGAACTTGGGCAAAACTACAAACAGATTTTGAAGGGCTGGTTCTGAAAATTGTATTTTCTGTACCAGCTCTACTCCTCCCAGAATAAGGCAGTGATAAATCTTTGTGAATAATTCTTATGCTGGAGGGCCTGCATTTTATTAGTAAGTATTTCTATCTAAGATCATGAGAGTTTATCCACATGGTTATGCCTTCTTTGATCTCTCCATGGAAAATGTAGTTGTGTTTGCCCTGAAAGGAAAGAAATATTTGATACATTTTTTCTTTCTAATGTGAATTAGCTTTCCCATGATATGTTCAAACTAATTATTATTTTTATACTGGGAAGCTATTAATTGTAAGATATGCCTTTTCCATATCCCTATATAATTAGAATTTCTCATATGGCTCATTGGCTTTTGATTTATTTTCCTGAGTTTGAGGTTTCTATGCAATTAAGCCTATCATCTATACATGTCCTATGTTATGTTTCCACATTGACGAAGTCATAGTCCACCTTCATCACCAGCCATCCCCTACCCACTACAGCCCCAGCATACACGGTATTAATAGCCTGAATATATCCTTCCATATATATAATATATGAGATTTACTATTAAAATGTAACTATATTCAGAATATTCTCCAGAGTATTTCTTATAATCTCAATAGCTCACTATACACTGTGAATATTCTTATAGGGATTTAGGTTGTTACGGTTTTAGTTTTGAAATTCAACTCTTTAGCACACGCGAAAAGCATTTTCATGTATGCAGGGAATGAAGTTTTAACATTTTTTTCCTGCAGTTATAAACTTTGCCCACAGCATTTGAACTGCTGATTCTGCTTCCTTGTTTTTTCTCAGTTCTTAAGCTGATGCCGCAATTGTTTTAATTATTTTAGCTTTAGAATAAAGTTTGAAGACAAATATCCCTCTCCAATTTTTGGAGATTTTCCTTTAGTTCTTTACCATTTTTTGGTTATTGTTTTGATGAAACGTAATATCATTTTTTTAGTATTAAAAAGGTAACTTTGGAATATTTAATATAATTAACTTCCTTACAGTACCAGATCTGCTAGGATAATAAATATATATTGATTCACTGTAGTTGATTTTTATATTCACAACAATTGGGAAGTTTTTAATTTTTTTTATTTTTGGGGGGAAGTTTTTAAAAGAAATTCTGACTAATCCTTGCCAATCTGATTCCTAGTTGAAATAACTAGGAATATTTTTAAAAATAACAATGAGAACACATGCACACAGGAAGGGGAACATCACACACCGGGGACTGTCGTGGGGTGGGGGAGGGGGGAGGGATAGCATTAGGAGATATACCTAATGTAAATGACGAGTTAATGGGTGCAGCACACAACATGGCACATGTATACGTATGTAACAAACCTGCACGTTGTGCACATGTACCCTAAAACTTAAAATATAATAATAATAATAATAATAATAAAGTACCCACAGTCAATAACACTCAGTACAAAAAGAAAAGAAATATTTTTAAAAACATTTTCTCCTCTGAGTGGATTTTTAACCAATTTTTCTAAAACTAAATATTGTTGGTAAATAAAAAAGCTACTATTTTATTATCTTGCTTTCCATCTGCTCACTAAGACATAAGTTTCCATCATTCTTTACTAGATTCTTTTGGATTACCTGCATTAATCATCATATTTTATAAGACTCGATCCACTGAAACATTAAACATCCTTATAGTCGATAAAGCCTCCATGTTTTTGTACAGAGAAGGTCAACAAAAATGTCTTCATTTTGGGGTTTTCTTCTCTTCACACTGTCCATTACTATCTCGTGGTACTCTGCAGTACACAGATCCATGCCCTCAGGTAAACTTGCAGAGTAAATTTGCTGCCATTTCTCCACAGTCCCACAAGTCACTCACATTCACAAGGGCCTTTTAAGAATTGGACAATACAGCTTAAAATCAGCTAGAAGGACAGTGTATTCAAATTACTTATATTGTAGCAGGTAACAATATAGATTCTAAGTAAAAAAAAAAAAAACAAGCATTTGTAAATGTCTTTTGTTAGCCACTGAATCAAATGTTTGAGTAATGTATTTGCTTGTGTTTCCATTTTGAGTTTTCACTTTAAAAAGTAAAAAGAGGTTGTTTCTGTTTTTGTTCTTTCCAGTGTGGCTGACTAGAGGTGTTCGATGCCAGATCTCCTCAGAAAGAAGATTAAAGTTACAGGTCATGGCTAGAGGAGAAACCTGAGGAAAGAGTGCTGAAACCTGTCGGAGAACCCATAGGAAGAAGCTGGGCTGCAGAAATGGAAGGCAGCAGGATTCTGGCAGAGACTGATCACTGAGCAGCTTGTAGTCCCATAGAAAAGGTAGCTGGGGGTACATCTTTGCTCCCCTCAGCCTTGCAACAGACTGCTGACTGCTGAATGGTCAGAGAGCATTTCTGCCTCCGGAAGTCCGATCAATGCTGTCAGTGGCCATTTCACCGGACATCCAGCTTGTGCAGGTGCACTCGCACACCCCGTAAACCCAAACTGACGTGGCGGTGAGTGGCATATTGTTTGTGCACCCATTGTGGGTTACTACTCTGCTGGGAGAATCCCAGCCCTCGTGTCACCGCATCACCAGATTCCCAGCAAACATACACCATAACCCACTCTGACTGGCCCATGCATGACGTACTGTAGAATCCCCAGAGATACAGCCCTCGACACAGGCTGCTTCTAGGGGAAGGGGGAGCATACCAAAGTGTCACATGAGACAAAGGAAACCCAGGCTTGGTGTGGATCTCTGACGGAGGGGCGCATTGTTCCACTTCATCAGATAGGCAGTACCAGAGGCCAGTAGCAGAGGTAGAGAGGGGTTCACCTCCCGCTCCTCCTGACCACTGCTGTAGATGCACCTAAGGCTTTTCTCACTGGGGGCCTGGATGTGCACTTGGAGATAGCGTTCCAGCTCTATTTGCAGGGGCTGCATCCCCACTAAAAGGATGTCCACAACCTGCACTTGTGCGAAGGGTGGGACTCATCTACCCCTCCTACACAGAGCAGCGTGGGCCCTGCAATGGAACATGGAACAGCTGCAGAGCTTTCTGTTTGGGGATAGGAGAAGAGATTCTGCCCCAAGGCCGTTTCAGTAGTAGCTACAAGATGGGTATTTCCTGTGGACCTCAGTCACATTGCACCTGGAGATACAGGACAGTGTAACTGAACTGAAGGTTGGAGCCATGTAATAGAGACATGATAGGGGAATGAATTGCACTGTATTCCTGCCTGCCCAGGAGGAGGAACTGGTGCAGCCCCCACCTCACCCACTTCAGGCCTCAGCATATCCCCCCCATGACATCTCCCTGTCACACCCATCAGGGGGGTGCTTCCACTCTTCATTGAAATTACTCAAGAGTGAACCAAGTCTTACTATTAAACACCACCTATTGGACTGGAGATTGAACTGCAACACACACACACACACACACACACACACAACAAAAAACCAAAACCTTTTGAAAGAAAGGCATAGTGCTAGGGTTTGAGCTAATTAAGCTACCTGAGACCTCCACACTCCCAGCCCCACAGTAGATAGTGTTGGCTTGTATGTCCACATGAATACAACAAGCAGCATTTGAGAAAACCACCACACAAAAGGTATCTATACCAAGGAATCTATACAAAGATGTGGCCTCATGAAAACACCCAGAAGCAAAGTCAGTTAATCATATACAGCATACACTCCATCGACACCCTCAAGAGAGAAAAGAATAAACAATAAAAAGTCCCATTAAAACTGCAGCGATTTCAAAAATAAGAAACAACTACTCCAGATGAGAGGGAATCAGTGCAATAAATCCAACAGTACCAAAAGAGTGTTTTTGACATTGCCAAAGGATCTGAACAGCACCGTAGCAATGGATCCCAACCAAACTGACAATTCTGAAACAAATGGGCAATAATTTAAAATATGAATTGTCCTAAATATATATGCACCCAAGACAGGAGCACCCATATTCATTTAAAAATTCTTAGACACATTTGAAGAGACTTAAATAACTACACAATAATATTGGGAGACTTCAATATACTACTGACAGTATTAGACAAATCATCAAGGCAGAAAACCAGCAAAGATATTTGGGATTTGAAATCAACACTTGACCAAATGAAACAAACAGAAATATACAGAATTCTTCTTGCAAAAACAACAGAATATATGTTCTTCGTATCTGCACATGGCACATACTCTAAAATTGACCACACAATTGATAATAACACAATTGTCAGCAAATTTTAAAAATATCAAAATCATACCAACCACAGTGCAATAAAAATAGAAATCAAAAGTAAGAAGAGAGCTCAAAGCCATGCAATTGCATGGAAATTAAACAACCGGCTCCTGAATGACTTTTGGGTAAACTGTAAAATTAAGGCAGACATCAAGAAATTCTTTGAAAACAAAGATACAACATGCCAGAATCTCTAGGACGCAGCTCACGCCATGTTAAGAGGAAAGTTTATACTGCTAAATCCCCCATCAAAAAGTTAGAAAGATCTCAAATTAGCAACCTAACATCACACATAGAAGGACTAGAATGATGAGATCAAGCCAACCTGAAAGCTAGCATAATAAAATAAATTACCAACATCAGAGCTGAACTGAATGAAATTGAGACACAAAAAAACATACAAAAGATCAATGAAACTAGCAGTTAGCTATTTAAAAAAATAAACAAGATTAATAGGCCACTAGCTGGACTAATAGAGAAAAAAAGAGGGAAAATAAAAACAAACACAATCAGAAATGAAAAAGACCAGTGACCCCACAGAAATACAAACATCCCTCAGAGACTGTTACAAATAACTCTATGCACAAAAACTAGAACATCTACAAGAATTGGATAAATTCCTGGAAACATACAACCTCCCAAGATTGAACCAGGAAGAAATTGAAACTCTGAACAGACCACTAATGAGTTCTGAAATGGAATCTGGAATAAAAAGCCTACCAAGCAGAAAAAGCTCAGGACCAAATGGATTCATAGCTGGCTTCTACCTGATGTATAAGAGAGAGCTGGTACCACTTGTACTGAAACTATTCCCAAAAAATCAAGAAGGAAGGACTTCTACCTAGCTCATTCTTTGAGGCCAGCATCATTCTGGTACCAAAACCTGGTAAAGACATAACAATAAAAGAAAACATCAGGCCAACAACTTTCATGAATATAGATGCAAAAATCTTCAAAAAATTTTACAGAAACAAATCCAGCACCACATCAAAAAGATAACTGATGATGAACAAGTATGCTTTATCCCTGAGATGTAAAGTTGGTTCAACATACACAAATCAAGAAATATGATTCATCACATGAACAGAACTAAAAACAAAAACCATATGACTATTTCAATAAATGCTGAAAAGGCTTCTGATAAAATGCAGCATTCCTTCATGTGAAAACCCATCAACAAACTAGTCATTGAAGGAAAATACCTCAGAACAATAAGAGCCATTTATGACAAACTCACAGTGAATATTATACTGTATGGGCAAAAGCTGGAAGCATTCCTCTTGCATATGGCCACAAGGCAAGCAGGTCCACTCTCACCATTCCTATTTAACATAGTACTGGGAGTCCTAGTCAGATCAATCAGGCAAGAGAAAGTAATATAAGGCATGCAAATATGAAGAAAGGAAGTCAAACTATCTGTTTGCAGACTTTATACTTTTATATGTAGAAAACTCAGTGGTCTCTGCCCAAAAGCTCCTAGATCTGATAAAGAACCTCAGCAAAGTTTCAGTATTAAAAAATCAGGCCGGGCAAGGTGGCTCATGCCTATAATCCCTGCACTTTGGGAGGCTGAAGCAGGTGGATCACTTGAGGTTAGGAGTTCCAGACCAGCCTGGCTAATATGGCAAAACCCCATCTCTTCTAAAAATACAAAAACTAGCCAGGCATGGTAGTGTGCACCTGTAGTCCCAGCTACTTGGGAGGTTGAGGCAGGAGAATCACTTGAACCTGAGGAGGTGGAGGTTGCAGTGAGCCAAGATCACTCCACTGCACTCCAGCCTGGGCAACAGAGTGAGACTCTGTCAAAAAAAAATCAATGTACAAAATAAGTCTCATTTTTATAAATCAACAACGTCCAAGCTCAGTACCAGATAAAGAACACAAACCCATTCACTATAGCCACAAATAAAATAAAATACTTAGGAATACAGCTAATAAGAGAGTTGAAGGATCCCAACAACAAAAATTGCAAAACACTGTGGAAGGAAGTCAAACATTACACAAACAAATAAAAAATAACTACAAGCTCATGGATAAGTAGAATCAATATTGTTAAAATGGCCATACTGCCAAATGCAAGTTACAGATTCAATGCTATTCTTATCAAAATACCAACAACATTTTTCACAGAATTAGAATAAACTATTCTAAACTTCAGATGGAACCAAAAAAAGAGCCCGTATAGCCAAAGCAATTCTAAGCACGAAGAACAAAGCTGGAGGAATCATATTTCCCAATTTCAAACTATACTACAAGGCTACAGTAATAAAAACAGCATGGAACTGGTACAAATCAGACACATAGATCAATGGAACAGAATAGAGCACCCAGATATAAAGCTATACACCTACAACCACCTTATTTTTGACACAGTTGACAAAAACAGGCAAAGCTGAAAGAAATTTATATTCAATAAATGGTGCTGGGATAACTGGTGAGCCATATACATAAGATTTAATATGGACCCCTTCTTTACACCATATACAAAAATCAACTCAAGATGGATTAAATAATTAAATATCAAACCTAAAACTATAAAAACCCCTGAAGAAAACCTAGGCAAAACCATTCTGGACATAGTTTTCAGCAAAGACTTCATGATGAAGATACTGAAAGCAATTGTAACAAAACGAAAAATCGACAAATAAGACCAAAGTAAAACAAAGAGCTTCCACACAGCAAAAGAAACTATCAAGAGAGTAAACAGACAACCCAGAGAATGGGAGAAAATATTTGCAAAATATGCATCTGACAAAGGTCTAATATAAAGAATCTATAAGTAACTTAAAGACTTAACAAGCAAAAACTAACAACCCCATTAAAAATTGGGCAAAGGACATGTACAGACATTTCTCAAAAGAAGACATATATGTGGCCAACAAATACATGGAAACATACTCAATATCCCTAATCATTAGAGTAATGCAAATCAAAACCAAAGTAAGATACCACTTCATACCAGTCAGAATGGCTATTTTTAAAATGTCAAAAAATAACATATGCTGGTATGGTAGTGGGGAAGAGGGGATGTTTATACACTGCTAGTGGGAATGTAAATTCGTTCAGCCACTGTGGAAACCAGTCTGGAGATTTCTGAAAGAACTTAAAACAGAAGTACTATTTGACCCAGCAATCCCATTATTGGAGATACACTCATAGGAATATAAATTGTTCTACCATGAAGACACATGCATGTGTATGTTCATTGCAGCAGTATTCATGATCGAAAAGACATGGAATCAACCTAGATTCCCATCAATGGTAGACTGGATAAAGAAAATATGATACATATAAATGATGAAATACTATGCAGCCATAAAAATGAGTGAGATTGTTTCCTTTGCTGCAATGTGGATGGAGCTGGAGGCCATTATTCTAAGTGAATTAATGAGGAAGCAAAAATCTAAATACTGCACGTTCTCCCTTGTAAGTAAGTGCTAAACTTTGAGTACACACGGACACAAAGAGAGATGAGAATAATAGATACTATGGCCTACTTGAAGGTGGAGGGTGGGAGGAGGGTGAAGATCAAAAAACTACCTATCGAGTACCATGCTTATTACCTGGTGACATAATAATACGTACTCCAAATCCCCATGACAGATAATTTACCCATAAAACAAACCTGCACCTGTACCCTTGAAACTAAAATAAAGGTTTAAAGAAAACATGATTTGTAAAGAAGCTCAATTGAATCAAGGAGAAAGTTGAAAATTGACACAAATAAATAAAAAAAAGAATTCAGGATATGAAAGACTAGATATATATATTTATTTAAAACCAAACAAACAAAAAAAAACCAGAGCTTCTAGTAATGAAAATTTACTGATAGAATTTCAAACTACAGTTGAAAACTTCAACAATAGACTAGATCAACCAGAATAAACAATTTTAGACATACAGACCTGTCTTTCAGATTAACTGAGTCAGATGAAAATAAAGAAAAAATAATTTTAAAATGAACAAAGCCTTCAAGAAATATGGGATTATGTAAATGGACCAAACCTATGGCTTACAGGTGTTTCTGGTGGAAAAGAAGAAAAAGAGATTTGGAAAATGTTTCTGAGGGAATAATTCAGAAAGATTTCCCTGATCTTGCTAGAGAGGTAGCCATTCATATAAAAGAAATTCAGAGAACAGCTGCGAGATACTATACAATATGAACATCACCAAGGCATATAGTCAACAGACTTCTCAGCAAAGACGTTACAAGCCAGAAAAGGTTGGGGGCTTATTTTTAGTCTCCATATAGGAAAAAAATGTCAGCCAAAAATGTTATATCCTACCAAAATAAGCTTCATAAATGAAGGAGAAATGAAGTATTTCCCACACAAGCAAATGCTAAGGGAATTCTTCACCACTGGACTGGCCCTACAAGAGATGCTCAAAGGATTTCTAAAAATGGAAACAAAGGGACAACACTCACCATCATAAAAGCACACAGATCCTGTAAAGCAAATACACAACTCACAGATCCTGTAAAGCAATTACACAATTGAGAATCTGATGCATTGAGCTAACAGCACTATGACAGAAAAAAAATTCACATATCAATATTAACCTTGAAAATAAATGGCCTAAATATTCCACTTTAAAGATATAGACTGGCAAATTGGATTAAGGGAAAAAAAGACTCAACCATCTGCTGCCTAAAATAGACCCACCTAATGTCTAAAGACACCTACCAACTCCAAGTAAAGGGGTGGAAAAAGGTATATCATAAAAATAGAAAATGAAAGCAAGCAGGAATACCCATTTTTATATCAGATAAAACAGACTTAAACCAACAACAGTAAAGAAAGACAAAGAAGGGTATTATATGATTATAAAGGGTTTAATACAACAAGAAGATTTAACTATCCTAAATATATATGTACCCAACACCATACCACCCAGATTCATAAAAATACTGCTACTCAACCTTAGAAAAGAGATTTACAGCAATACAATAATAGTGGAGAATTTCAACACCCCACTGACAACATTAGACTGATCACTGCAGCAAAAATTCAATGAAGAAACTCTGCACCTAAACTGGATTCCAGACCAAATGGATCTAATAGACATTTTTTAAATAGAATATTTAAAAAATATTCTACCCAACAATTGCAGAATATACATTTTTCTTATCTGCAAACAGGATATTATTCAAAATCAATCATATAGTTCGCCATAAAGCAAGTGTCAATAAATTTTATAAAATCAAATTTATATCAAGTATCTTCTTGGATCACAGTGGAATAAAGTTTGAAATCAATGCCAAGAGGAACTCACAAAAGTACACAGAAATACATGAAAACTAAATGATTTGCTCCTGATTCACTTTTGGGTAAACAACAAAGTTAAAGCAGAAATTAAAAAAAAAAAATTGAATCATGAAAATAGAGACACAGCACACCAAAACTGCTGGAATACAGCGAAGCCATGCTGAGAGAAAAGATTATAGTGTTAAATGTCTATATAAAATGATTGGGCCTGGCACGGTGGCTCACGCCTGTTATCCCAGCACTTTGGGAGACCAAGGCAGGTAGATCACTTGAGGCCAGGAGCTCGAGACTAACCTGGCCAACATGGTGAAACGCTGTCTCTAATAAAAATACAAAAATTAGCCAGCCCTGGTGGTGCACACCTATAATTCCAGCTACTCACTGGGATTTCAGTGACTGAGGCATGAGAATCACTTGAACCTGGGAGGCAGAGGTAACAACTATTAGAGCAGAACTAAATGAAGTAGAGACAGAAAAATGATACAAAAGATCAAGGTAATGAAAACTTAGTTATTTAATAGGATAAAAATTAATAGATAGCTAGTTAGATTAACCAAGAATAAAGGAGAAAAGTTTCAAATAGGCACAATCAGAAATGGTAAAGGTGACGTTACAACTGATACCACAGGAACAAAAAAGATCTTCGGACTGTTATGAACATTTCTATGCACATAAACTCATAAAGCTAGAGGAAACTGACACATTTCTGGAAACATACAACCTCCCAAGATTGAACCAAGAAGTTATAGAAATCCTGAAAGTAACAATAACAAGTAATGAAATTGAATCAGTAATAAAATATCTCTCAACAAAAAACAAAAAGCCCAAAACCAGATGGATTCACAGCTGAATTCTACCAGATGTACAAAGAAGAGCTCATACCAATCTTACTGAAAATATTCCAAATAAAATGAGGAAGAATGATTCCTCTCTAACTCATTCTACAAAACAAGTATCACACTGATACGAAAATCAGGCAAGGACAAAATGAAAAAAAGAAAACTACAGGTCAATATTCCTGATGAACTTAGATGCAAAAATCCTGAAGAAAATACTAGCAAATCAAATCCAGCGGCATATCAAAAAGGTAACTTATCATGATCAACTAGGTTTTTTTCCCCCCCAGGGATGCAAAGGTGGTTCAACATATGCAAATGAACACGTTATTGACCACATAAACAAAATTAAAAACAAAAAACAATATGATTATCTCAATAGTTGCAGAAAAAGTATTTGATAAAATTCAACATCCCTTCCTGATAAAAAATCTTTGACAAACTAGGTATCAAAGAAACATACCTCAAAATAATAAAAGCAATATATGACAAACCCACGGCCAACATCATACTGAATAGGGAAAAGTTGAAAACATTTCCCTTAAAGACTAGAACAAGACAGGGATGGCCACTCTCACCACTCCTATTCAATATAGTACTGGAAGTCCTAGCCAGAACAATCAGGCAAGACAACAAAATAAAAGCATCCAAATTGGAAAAGAGGAAGCCAAATTATCTGTTTATAACATGATCTTATACCTGGAAAATTATAAAAACTCCTCCAAAAGATTCATAGATTTCATAAGCAACTTCAGTAAAGTTTCAGGATACAGTATCAATGTATACAAATCAGTAGCATTTCTATACACCAACAACAATTGAGAATCAAATCAAGAACATCATCCCATTTACAATAGCTAAAAAATAATTAAAATACCTAGGAATACATTTAACCAAGGAGGTGAAAGATCTCTACAAGGAGAACTACAAAACACTGATGAAAGAAATCACAGATGACATAGTATAGTAAAACCATACTATGCTCATGGACTGGAAGAATCAACATCATAAAAATGACCATACTCCCCAAAGCAATCTACAGATTGAGCACAACTGCTATCAAATTACTAATATCATTTTTCACAGTATTAGAAAAACAACAATGTTAAAGTTTACCTGGAACCAAAAAAGAGCTTGAATAGCCATAGCAATCTTAAGCAAAAAGAACAAAGCCAGAGACATAGCATTACCTGACATAAATTATATTACAAGACTATAGTAACCAAAACAACATCATACCGGTACAAAAATAGACACATAGGCCAATGGAACAGAATAGAGAACACAGAAATAAAGCCAAACACATAAAACCACCTGATCTTTCACAAGGTCGACAAAAATAAACAATGGGGATAGGACACCCTATTCAATAGATTGTGCTGGAAAAAATTGGCTAGGCATATGCAGAAGATTGAAACCCGGCCCCTATCACTCACCATATACAAAAATCAAGTCAATATTGATTAAAGACTTAAATGTAACACCTGAAACTATAAAATTCTAGAAGAAAATCTAGAAAAAACTTCTCCTGGACTTGGGCCTAGGCAAATAATATATAACTAAGACCTCAAAAGCAAATGCAGCAAAACAAAAATAGGCAAATGAGACTTAACTAAAAGGATTCTGCACAGCAAAAGAAATAATCAACAGAATAAACAGATAATCTACAGAATGGGAGAAAATATTTGCAAATTATATATCTGACCAAGGACTAATATTCAGAATATTCAAAGAGCTCACACAACTCAACAGGAAAAAAATATTTAAAAATGGGCAAAAGGGGCCGGGTGCGGTGGCTCATGCCTGCAATCCCAGCACTTTGGGAGGCTGAGGTGGGCGGATAATCTGAGGTCAGCAGTTCGAGACCAGCCTGACCAAAATGGCGAAACCCCGTCTCTACTAAAAATACAAAATTAGCTGGGGGTGGTGGCGCATGCCTGTAATCCCAGCTACTCCGGAAGCTGAGGCAGGAGAATCACTTGAACCTGGGATGGAGAGGTTGCAATGAGCCAAGGTTGCGCCATTGCACTCCATCCCGGGAAACAAGAGCAAAACTCCATCTCAAAAAATAAAAGTGGGTACAAGTCATGAAGAGGCATTTCTCCAAGAAGACATGCAAGTGGCAAACAAACACGTGAAAAAAATGCTCAACATCACTCATCATCAGAAAAAATGCAAATTAAAACTACAATTAGATACCATCTTACACCTGACAGAATAGGCTATTTTTAAAAATACAACTAATAACAGATGTTAGTGAGGATGTGGAGAAATGAGAACTCTTATACATTGTTGGTGGGAATATAAATTGGTACAACCTCTATGGGAAGCAGTGTGGAGATTTCACAGAGAACCAAAAATAGTGCTACCATTGGACCTAGAAATCCCACTACTTGGTATCTACCTTAAGGAAACCAAATCATTTCATCAAAAAGACACCTGCAGTCATATGTTTAGCAACAGTGTTACAGCACTATTCACGATAGCAAAGTCAGGGTATTAACTTAAGTGTCCATCAGTAGCTGACTGGATAAAGTAAATGTAGTATATATATTCCATGGAATACTATGTAGCCATAAAAAAGAATGAAATCATTCTTTACAGCAACATGGATGGAGCTGGAGGCCATTAGCCTAAGAGAAATAACTCAGAAACAGAAAACCAAAAGCTGCATGTTCTCACTTAGAAGTGGGAGCTAAACAATAGATACACATGCACTTAAAGATGAAGATAAGAAACACTGGGGATTCCAAAAGGGGGAAGAGTGGGAAGGAATAAGAGTTGGAACATTACCCATTGGATACAATGTTCACTCTTTCAATGAAGTGTGCACTAGTAACCCAAACCTCACCATTATGCAATATATCAAGGTAACAAACATGCACATGTACCCCCTAAATCTAAACTTATAAAAAACTAAAAAGAAGACAACTTTGTCATTTGCAACAACATGGATGAAACTGGAACAACAACACGGATGAAACTGGAGGACATTACGTTACGTGATATAAGCCAGGCAGAAAAAGAACTCATTAATATGTGAAATATAAAATGGTTGAACTCATGGAAGTAGAGAGTAAAAATGGTGCTTTCCAGGGGCTGTGTCAGTAGCAGGGGAGGGTGTTGGGAGCATTGTTGTTCAAAAGATACAAAATTTCAGGTAGACAGAAGAAATAAATCCAAGAGATATCGTATAGTAAAACATGGTGACTGTAGTTAATATATTGTATTCTCAAAAAATGTTAAGAGAGTCGGTTTTGTGTTCTCACCACAAAAATGACAACGATGTGAGGCTATGCATATGTTAATTAGCTCGATTTAGCCATTTCATAATGTATATATATTTCAAAACATTATGTTTTACATAAATACAATTTTATCTGTCAGTTTAAAATAAATAAATAAATATGTTTACATGTGTTGATTCATTAAATCCTGAAACCACAGGATATAGGTGAAAATAGGATCTAAGGTACAGATTTGTCATTAAGATTGAAATAATCTGTGTAAATTCAATCAATATACTGCCTGAAAAACAAGTGATCGGGAAATGTTAATAATTATCCATGCTATTATCAATACTAGTAATCTGTTTGATTTTCTCCTTTGTACAGAAAAGAGAACTTGAGATGGGAGAGGTTCTTGTTTCAAATATCAAGAAGCCCAAGTTATTTAGGAACGAGGTTTTTAACCTAATTTGTTAAAAATTATAAAGATATAAACTGAAGAAGTTAATAATCTCTCACATCTTCTCTGTTCCATAGTCCTAATATTTAAAAGGTATACACATGTCATCCTGGATATAGCAAAACTCAATGTTATAATTATGGTATCTGTTTCCAAACACATCAAATAGTTTTTTTCAAGTACATTTCAAGCGCATCGTTATGGAAATTTTAATATTTCATCATGTCTCTGGAAATGTGTTAAAGTCTTAGTCAGTTGCCTGCAAGACTAAATGAATGATAATATTTAAAATACAAAAGACATGAAGGGAAATAAGGAATATTTATATTATTAAGTAATAACATGTATTATAAAGCAATAATAAAAGAATACAGCACTGACACAGAAATTGGCAGCTGAAATGATCGTATTGCTTTAAACCGGGTTTAGCAAATTTATTAATGTATTTTGCATTGCCCCAAAATAATTTTTGATAAATTTGTTTCTGGATACTTCATAAGCATTATTTCTATTGTGACTAAACCTATTTTTATTGTATTTTCTAATTTCTTCTTGCTGTTATATGGGGAAGTTATTGATTTCTGTATATTTTATTTCTGCCTACACATCTAACTAAACTATCTTACTAGTTCTCATAACTTTTCAGTTTATTCTAGAATGTTGATCATGTTATCTGTGTCAGGCATCCATTGCAACATTAAAACCAAGCTACAGGCTGGGTAAATGCTATATGTTGTCCATGTTCTCTCCTTCCTGACTGCCCCCTAAGTCTTTCTGACATGAGTTATTTACCCTTGTATTTACTATTGTATCCCTGTAGGTGTGGTTAATATTTACAATTAGTTGACTTTCATGAAAGCAGTTTATGCCACATAATATGGGTGGGCCTAATCTAAGCAGTGGAAGGTCTGACAATGCTTGGATTTGAAGCTTATCCCATCGTAGCCACTTTCTAGCTGTATGACCTTGGCAAATTACTTAACTCTCAGTGCCTCAGTTTGTTCATCTATGAAATGGGAATCATAGTAGTAATGAAGATGGAGTGAGTTCACAGACATAAGCCATTTTGAACAGTACCTGCCATGTAGAAAGTACTAAACACATAATAATGATAACATTTAAGGGTGCAATATAATACTGATGATTGAATTTGTCTTGTATCCAGATTAGACATATGATCACATCTTGGTGGTTAAGTGGATATATTCTAAACAGGATGCCAACATTTAACAATAAATGTGCTTTGTTAATGATATGACCTACTATAGACTTGTATTTGCTTCCATGTTGATTATCAGTGAAATTATTTTTACATGTTTTTTTCAACTGAGTCTCATGAGAAATTTGTGAGTTTGATGTAATAATAGGGTTCTCATAAGGACTAAATGATATAATTCATATAAAAGTCTAAGAACAATTACTACAAATGGTTTTATTATCTCATTTTTATGGATGTAATCATAAAAGCTTTAAAACCTTAGATAGTTTCTTTCAGTTGGCATAACACTTGACTCCCTATGTTCTTTTATCTTGTTAAATTACAAAAGTTGTTTTCCTCCTTAATTTTCGTTTATTCACAAATGCAATATTTGCCATTGTATCCAGTGGAATAAGGCAAATAAACATAAAGAAGTTTCTAATTCTTCTCATTCTCCACTCTATTTCCATCCCCCTGAGATGGTGGATGGAAACACCTCGGTGTATATCCTTGCACTAGTTTCGTTCCTTCTCCAGCTCAAACAAATAGATACATACCTATAAACACATACGCAAGCTTTTCATTACCATTGTGTGTTTTACAAATTTTTTATCCTAAATAAATTATTATGCGACCTCCTTTGTCTTGTAACAAAATATTTTAGGACATTCTTCTAAATCAGTGATTGTCAACTAGGAGAGATTTCCCCCACCCACAACATTTGGCCATATCTGGAGATGTTTTTGGTTGCCGTAACAGGAGCAGGGGGTGGGGCGCTACTGGCATTTATTGGATAGAGGTCAGGGATGCTGTTGAACATTCTATAATGCACAGGATAGCCATCCTCCCAGCCAACAAAGAATTATCCCATCCAAAATATCAATAGTGCCAAGGTTGAGAAACCCTGTTCTGGATCAACAGAGCTACAGCTATTTATATACATAGTTATGCAATATTCCATAATAATGGCAAACCAGAATTTACTCAATTCTACTAGTGATGAATTGAATTAGTGGTTTCTAGTGTTTTCTACCACAAATAATGTGGCAATACACACTCTTTTCCTTACATCTTCCTATACTGATGCTTTTCTTTCCCTTGGATACATTGCCCAAAGTGAGACTGATGGGTCAATTTTTAAGGGTTTAATAGATATTTTTGTGTAATTTTTCAATTTTTGCTGGTAATTCACATCACGCCACTAATAAATAAGAATGCCATTTCTTCAGTATTCTTTCTAGGAACTAGATGTTACAAATCTTTTGTAATTTTAGCCAGTCGTATGAGAAAAACTTCAGGCCTCATTGTTATTTTAATGTGCTTTTCCCTAATTTAGTTAAGTTTGAGCAGCATTTTAAATATTTGGATATTTGAAATATTAAAATATCCAAATATTAAACTATTTGGATATCTCCTATTAATCCCTATTACTATCTTTTGCACATTTTTTCTATAGTTGTTTTTTTTTTGTTTTTTTCTGGAGACAGTGTCTTGCTGTTGTCCAAGATGGAGTGCAGTGGCGTGACCACAGTTCACTGAAGCCTTGAACTCTCAGCTCAAATGATCCTCCCACCTCAGCCTCCAACATATGTAGGCCAACAGGTGTGAGCCACCACACTTGGCATTTTCGTATTGCATTTTAAAGCAATTTGTACATGCAGTTACAACATTTTGTCTGTCACAAGTGTTGCAAATATTTTTCTCATCTGTGATTTGACTTTTTCACTGGTTATATGTCTTTCCACTTAATACGTTTTAATTTTAAAAAATGTTCTTATAATTTTTAATTTATTACATCTTACATTCTTCCTTGCTTAGGAAGATTTATAAAAAATATATATTTATTTAAAAATATATATAGTAAATTTTTGCTAATCTTTATTATTTTATTTTTTACCCTTATATCCTAAATCTATCTGAAATTTATTTTTTATCTGATGGAAGATAAATGTCTAAATTAGTTTTCTACCTGATAAGAATTATCTCTGCACCATTAATTAATAAATTATTATTTCCTCACTGAAGCAAAATTGGTTCCTGTTTATCTTTGAGGCTTTTGTTTTAGATTTTCAATTCTGTTTTTGTCATCTATTTTCTATTTCTATGTTAGTACCATAGTATTATTTTAGTGTAAGTTTTTATATCTGGTTAGGCAAATCTCTCTTCACTTTTCTTTTTCACAAAGGATTTAGCTATTCTTGCACAATTATTCTTTTCTATAAACATTAAAATCATTTTATCCAGTTCCAAACATAAATCTATGTCTGTAAGTGTCCTGACAGAAAACAAATGACACATTCCCCTAGATAATTAGGGAGGGTTTAATAAAGGAACGGCTGTAGGTTATATAAGGGGTACTGAAAAAGGATGGTGACGCCCCTTCAAGCTAGCTACAGCAGGGAGCCATGGTAACCAGTGGATCTGAAAGTTGAAGGGAAGGCAGAGGTTACTTGAGTCCTAAGACAGGGTTACCAACAGGACTTGGAGTTTTCTGTAGAAGGCCACAACCAGCCCTTGGCACTCAGCTGGGAGGAAGCCAGAGAAACGAATGCCCTAACGTCACTCCCTTCCTACTTCTAGAACTCCTGCCAGTGCCTCCTTACTGGCCAAACCCAACTGGGAAGCAGAGATAAAGAGAGGGCATGTATGCAGTCCATATAGATCAGCTTCCTGGGGTACAGAGCAGGATGGAGAAGGGAGGGGTGCATCTAGAGCAGGGGTCTTCAACCCTCAGGTCATAGACCAGTACCAGTCTGTGGCCTGGTAGCAACTGGGCCGCACAGCAGGAGATGAGCGGCCAAAACAGTGAGCATGACCGCCTGAGCTCCGCCTCCTGTCAGATCAGCGGAGGCATTAGACTCTCATAAAAGCCAGAACCCTATTGCGGACGGCACATGCAAAGGATCTAGGTTTCATGCTCCTTAGGAGAATCTAACTAATGCCTGATGATCTGGGGTGGAACAATTTCATCCTAAAACTATGCCCCCAATCTGTGGAAAAATTGTCTTCCACAAAACAGGTCCCTGGTGCCAAAAAGATTGGGGACTGCTGATCTAGGGAATCAGATGGAACAGATCCAGCTCATAACCTACTGGAGTTCTGATACAGAACTTCATTTTATTATGTATTCATTTTGTGAGAACCGAGCTTTTGTCAGTGTAAAGACTCTGAGGTGGGATGGAACTTAGCAAATTTGAAGAACACGAAGAAAACTAGTGAACTGGAGCACAGGGGTGAAGCCAAGAGTGGGAGGGATGAGGTAGGCAGTGACTGGTCATGTACAGCTTCATCAGTCATGGTTAGGAGCCTGAGATTTATTCCATGTACCCTGGTGTACCACTGGGGAACTTCAGCAGCACAGTGATTTGAGCTCAACTACATTTTTGTTTAGGTTTGCTACTAAAATGTGTTATAGTATTTGAGCTAATGCATATTTTCTGACATATATTTTCAAATCGCACCAACTTATACTCACTCTAAAGAATGTATGATTCGGTACATGGATGAAGCTGGAAACCATCATTCTCAGCAAACTATCGCAAGGACAAAAAAAACAAACACCGCATGTTCTCACTCATAGGTGGGAATTGAACAATGAGAACACTTGGACACAGGGTGGGGAACATCACACACCGGGGCCTGTTGTGGGGTGGGGGGAGGGGGGAGGGATAGCATTAGGAGATATACCTAATGTAAATGACGAGTTAATGGGTGCAGCACACCAACATGGCACATGTATACATATGTAACTAACCCGCACGTTGTGCACATGTACCCTAAAACTTAAAGTATAAAAAAAAAAAGTATGATTCTGTCCATGTCAGTGTATCCCTGATATCCTTCAGTGTATTATTTGAAAATTGAAAATTGTTGCTAATTCATTGAAATAAGTAAATAAAGTGAAGTAAGTAAATATAGTGTCTTAGTCTGTTTGTGCCACTGAAACAGAATACCTGAGACTGGGTGGTTTATAAAGGACAGAGTTTATTTGCTCGCAGTTCTGGAAACTGGTAAGTCTAAGGTAAAGGTGCTGGCTGGGTCTGTTGTCTGATAACTGCTGCATTCTTCAGAGAGGTAGAACTCTATATCCTCACATGGTGGGAAAAGGGCACTTTCCTGGGTCCAGCACTGCCTGAAGCCTCTTTTTTATAAGGGCTTTAATCCCAGCAATAAGTACAAAGCCCTCATGGCCTAACCAGCTCCTAAAGTCTCTTCTTTTTAATACTATCACAGTGGCAACACCTGAATTTTGGAGAGAACGCATTCATACAATAGCATAAAGGTATCTTTTTGTCTTGATTGCATGGCTTTAAGTAATGGTAATACTGCTGCATATTTATTTGTATTGGTCATATGAATTTAATTTGGAGGGATGAGTCTGCTCCTATCCTTTTTTCATATTTCCATTAGGATGCACAGCGAATGCCATGGTATGCCATCCACATTCCCCTTTCAAGACCGAGGCACTTTTTCTCCCAGCTGTCAAGAGTGTTGGTATCCAATGATTGTTAGTTGAATCCCTGACAAAGATCACGTCTCCTTCTCCCCTTCCCCACCCCCACCTGTGACTAATGCCTGGTCAATGCAGGAGTAAAATCTTGGTTGATATGGTTTGGCAATTCAAATCTCAGCTCAAATTGCAATCCCCATGTGTCCAGGGAGGGACCAGGTGGGAGGTGATTGGATCATGGGGGCGGTTTCCCTCATGCTGTTCTCTTGATAGTGAGTGAGTTCCCGCCACATCTGATGGTTTTATAAGGGGCTCTTCCCGCTTCGCTCCTCACTCTTCTTTCTCCTGCTGCATTGTGAACCGGGTGCTTGCTTCCCCTTCGCCTTCTACCGTGATTGTGAGTTTCCTGAGGCCTCCCCAGCCATGTGGAACTGTGAGTCAATTAAACCTTTTTCCTTTGTAAATTTCCCAGTCTCAGGTAGTATCTGTATAGCAGTGTGAAAACAGACGAATACTTTGGACCTCTGCCTTAAAGAGCGCCCTCTCTGAAGGGTCATCCCAGCTCGAAAGCTCTCCTGGGAGGGGAGGGAGGCAATAGAATTCCTCCCTCTGTCTCTTCCTGCTTTCCTCACGCCCTACATGCATTGATCTCCAGAGCACTTTCCAAGGAAATTGGTTACTTAAAATTTTCCTACTCAGTCTGTTTCCTGGCAAACCCAATCTGGAACAAGATGTTAGTAATTTAGCATTTAATCAGTAATAGGTTTTTCTATTTACCCTTGTATCTAGCATGTTTAAAACCATTTTCCTGGTCTGTTATTGGTCATTTTTGTTAGTAGCAGTTTTTTTTTTTTTTTCTTAAAGGAAACTTATATCTTAACTTCAGGGACAATTAATAATCTCTCCAATTTATATATCCTTTCATATACCTAAAGCTTGTTCTGTTTAGCCCCCCAAATATTAGTTTCTCTGTACAATGCTACTTTATTTATGAAATAGTGATTTCTTATTTAGTCAAAAATAGTGGTTTTTTATAATAATTGTTTCTATCATCGGATCTTTCAACAATCATTCTCTCCTAGTCTTTTTAATGGTCTTATGTTTTAAAATTTCACACTTTAACCCATGTGAAATATATTTGGGTATGTGAGATGAAGCAAACGTGTAAGTTTACGCCCCTCCCCCAAATATATTCAACTTATCCAACAAGTTATCAGCCATCAGTCCTCCTCCATTGTTCTCTCTGTCTATACTTAAGCCAACACTACAATATTTTAATTATTTCAACTTTACCTCACCAATATCTGGTATGGTAAACATGCCCTCATTTCTCTTAATTTTTTTACTTTTCTCCTGAATACTTCATCTATTTATTCGTGCAGATGGATTATAACATCAGTTTGTAAAAAAACTTTATGTCATATTTGGATTTTAATGTAATTACCTTAATTATAAATTAATTACAGAAAAATTAGTAACTTTATAATGCTGAATCATCCTATCCAGAAACAGATAGAACAGATGGTGAAGTGTGTGTGTATATGTGTGTGTGTGTGTGTATATATATATATATATTTGTGTATGTATGTATATATATATCTGTATATAGGTATTAATATATTCCTCAAGAAAGGTTTTTAGATTTATTCACACGAGCCTTGAACAGATGATGTATTTTGGTCGTGTATTTTCTATTTTATATTTTTTTCTCTGGTTTGTGAGTGGGGAGTTTTCTTACTTGGTTATGTGATTGTCAACAGTTACTTAATCCTACTTGCCCCAATTTCTGCATCTGTAGAAGGGGAAATAACAATGGCCCTTTTCTGATGAGTCTGTTGTGAGTGTTAAATAATACATGTAAGGCCCATAGCACATCCTCAACACATTTTAAGTGCATGATACATGGATGTTTCTATCTATAAAACACATATTCCCCAGAAATTTCATTTAGCTGTGCACTTCTTTTAATGTCCATTAATATTAGCCATCAGTAATCATTCACCAAGTGTTTACTGACACCACTCTCCTAACTCCTGGAAACCTGCTTTGCATTTTGTGGCAGCCACTAGGCCAGGTGCTGGGCAAAAAGTGGTGAATGAAACAGATACAGTCCCTGCCCTAATGGGCCTTCCAGTATGTGGAGACAGACAGAACGATCAAGGATACACTGTTAGATGTCTGATTATAGACTGCTAAATGATTAGTAGGGGGAAAAGGCATATTACGAAATAATACCTATGGGGACCCAATTCGGGCAGGTGGTAGGGCCAGGCAGTAATAACGTTTTATCAAAGATTGGACATATAAATTGCTGTTCAAGGCAGAGTATTCAAGGCAGAGTAAATGGCATGCCTGAAACCTCTAAGGCAGGAAAAATACTCCTTTATAGATACGTGCATCATGGAAAGGCAGTGTTATGTAATACAATGAACATAGGTTTTTGGATCACACAGGACTTGAATCCCAACTGCCTGCCACTTACTCTGGACCCTAGGCAAGTTGACTCCTGTGGGCCCGGGTTTCCTTATTGCAAAGTGAGCTCAGTAACCACCAATCTTACTGGCGGTAGTGAGGATTGCATAAGATAATGCATACAATGCATTAGTATCACAAAACTTAGTACAGAGGATACACAAAATAAATGTTATCTTTTATTATTGATAAACATTATTCCACTCTCTAAGGACTGTATTTGGCTTTCATTTTGCTTTGATAGTTCCTCACGACATCTAGGGCTCCCTCAGTGAATGTTGTTCAAGGCAGAAAAAAATTACTTGTCTTTCTCTTAGTTAAAAAAAAAGAGCTTACTATAGTCATAACAGTGGCTGTTGATTGCCTGCTGTGTGCCAAAACCCTAGTATGTATGTATGTATGTATGTATGTATGTATGTATGTATGTATTTTTGAGACAGGAGTTTCACTCTTGTTGCCCGGGCTGGAGTGCAGTGGCGCAATCTCAGCTCACTGCAACCTGCGCCTCCCGGGTTCAAACGATTCTCCTGCCTCAGCCTCCTGAGTAACCGGCCTAGTAGTTATTTTTACACATTGACTCCTTACAACACATCCATAAGGTAGGCATCAATATCCACAGCTTAAAGATATGAAAGCCAATATTTAGAGCAGTTAGTTACACACATACCCAAAACTATACCATTAGTAAATGACTGATTCATGATTTTGAAAGGGGACATGTGGCTTTCTTCTTCATAAATTTGCATTTCATCTTAACTATACCCAATACTCACATTTGATCCTGCGTCTAACATTCCACTCCAGGTTACCTATGCTGCTCCTGTCTCTTGTTTTTGCCTTCACGTCCCCTTTTGGAATTATGGCTTAGCACCATTTTATTATATTCTACCTTGGCTTCACATGACAGTGATTCTGGTTCCCCGTCTAAGCTATACAGTCTCAGTTTGACTTGGATAAACGCCCTTTCGGCCTTGACTCAGTTTAAGAATCCTTCTACCTTAGGGCAAACCTTTGAGAATCTTCCCACAGGACTTGCCCCAACCCAGTGGGAAGAAACCAGTGTCTACTGTAATTTACTTTGACCCTTACATGAACAAAGAACACATTTGGGTCCAAAGTAACGTAAGTTACAGCTCCAAGCACTCTGTAATGTGTTCATTTATGTAAACTATTTCAAATTAAAAGCAAGGACCTTGGTTTTTAGCAAACGAAAGTCATGGCAATTTAAATAGTTCATGTAGATTATCAATAAACCAAAAAAATGCTCAGACTTGCCAGCGTCGAAATTAAATAGCTGATTATTCAAGACAAACATCTTTCTTCTGCTGTCTGGTGGCTTTATGGATAGAGGAAACCCAGGTGACATTTTCAATCCAAAATTTCTTTTGAGGCATTCCAGTCATTTAGAAATGCCCTTCTAAAAATTAAAGAAGGAGGAAGAGGCTTTTCAGACAGATTAAGCAGAATGCCAAAAGTGAACTCTTCAGTCTAAAATCAAGTCTCATCTTTGCAAAAAGCAATAGCTTCTTTGTAGAGCAGACATCCTAATTATGTCCACTAGTTTCCACACAGCCCGTAATGAGAACAAATGATTCACAGCTAGCAGAACTTTGAGTGAATTAAAATCATGGTTTCTAGCAAGGGAAGTTATTCAGTGAAATTGTTTTATTTCTTTTAGTAATAGAGTTCACTGAAATATTGTAGAAAAGATCACTATGTAAAAAATACAGAAAGCAACTTTGGGGACTATGGAAGAGAGTGTCCCCACTTTCCAGGGCCCCTCTTCGATGAGGTGGCCGATGAGGGCTTCTACTGAGCACAGTTTAGAAACTATTAACTTAAGTGAGTTCAAAATATGTTTTCATAATTTAGAAAAAGAAAGGAAAATCTATCAACAAAGTAAACTTTTCCTGGAAATATGAGGCAACTTTCCACTTTATCTGAGATTCTTTTTCCATGTTCACAGCTTGAAGCTCCTCTTCAGCCATTTATCTCCTTTAGACAAACTCCTATCGCCAGTGGCAATTAAGCTCACTGTAGTTCACAGTTAACAGCCTAAGTTGAATTGGACAAATAAAACTAGCTCATGTCTTATTCATTCCCACATATTAACCTTAGAATTTTTAACTGGCATTCTTCATAGTGAAGCAGACAGTGGCTGACCTTGTGCAAAGATTCATGATTTCTTGTAGGAAAGCGTTTGAAATGGGAAGCAACTCCACTGAGCAGCCAGTTCAGGATCCAGGGCAAAACTGCCATTTCACTCATTTATCCACTGTATTTACAAACCTTTTATACAAAAGTCAATAGTGCTGATTTGAAAGTAATTCTGCAGCTGGATGTTTTTAATGGCTAGAAGGGCCATTTGACTGCTACGCTAGACTTGGGAATAATTTAAGCTGGGTAATAGATGGTCACATTTTGTGTGACAAACAACTTGGGCGGGGAGAACCTGGTGCAAACAGTGATAGAAATGCATTGCTAGTAGTTACTGTATTTTAGTAGATGGTTTAATTTACTTGAGTTCAGCTAGATTTACATCATCCGTATTCATTAGGCTCAAGCCATCTGAATGAATTTCCTTAAGCATCAATAAAACAAGGTCTATGCAGCTGAATTTTCTAGAGATATCAGTATTTACTAAGAAATCACTGCTTATATTTGCCTGTGTCACAGGGAGCTCATTTAAAAACTGTGTTCTATTTGAAACATTCACTAGCTGCTGTTTCTAACAAATGATAGTTTGGCAATAGACTGAGTAGTTTTGTTAGAGACCTGAAAGAGTTCCTACGGCTTCTTAACCAACAGGAAATGACTTAGGCGGTGGGGAGACCCTGCTCAGAGAATTAGTTCTTTAAGAGGCATGAGCATTTTACTTGACAAATCTTTTTATGGCTATATAAAAATGTACATTATCTGACATCAGTACAGCTGAAGAACTTTTTAACTGAAGGTAGTAAAAAGAACAGTTAATGGTCTGCTCTATAAATTTGTTTCAAGGAGAAAAGAAGAACTGTCCATCAGGGGAAAAATACTTCAAAAAGATAAGCAATCTGGTCTTCCGATGACAACTCTTCTGGTGAACTACTAATGAAAAATAATGACTGAGGATTTCTTTGTACAAAATAACCATGTTTGTAAAGCTGGGCAAATTATCCTATTTTCCAAAACTACATTCACATACAAACACACACATATACATACACACAGTTACGTGTCAACTGATGGCAAGATGCATTCTGAGAAATGTGTCTGTAGGTGATTTCATCATTGTACAAAGATCATAGAGTGTGATTACACAGACCTACATGGTATAGCCTACTACACACCTTGGCTGTATAGTATAGCCAATGCACCTAGGCTGTAAACCTGTACAGCATGTTTCTGTATGGAATACTGTAGGCAATTGTAACTCAATGGTAAGTGTTTTTGCTTCAAAACATATGTAAGCCTAGAAAAGGTACAGAAAAAATATGTTATAGAAGATAAAATATGGTACACCTGCAGAGGACACTTGAATGGATCTTCCAGGACTGAAAGTTGCTCTGGGTGAGTCTGTGAGTGAGTGGCAAGTGACAGTGAAGGCCTAGTGTAGACTTTATAAACACTGTACACTTAACACTGTTTATATTAAAAATTCCCTTCTTCATTAATAAATTAACCTTAGCGTACTGTAACTATTTTACTTTATAACCTTTTAATGTTATTTAAGATTTTGACTGTTTTGTAATAACACTTGGCTTAAAACACAAACATATATGAATGTACAAAAACGTTTTCTTTATATTTTTATTCTATAAGCATTTTCTATTTAAAATATTTTTATATCTTACATTTTTGTATCAAAAACGAAGACACAAATACACCTATTAGCCTGAGCCTACGTAGAGTCAGGATCATCAGCGTCACTGTCTTCCACCTCCACATGCTGTCTCACTGGAAGGTCTTCGGGGCCAATAACATGCATGGAGCTGTCATCTCCTATGATAACAGTGCCTTCTTCAGGAATAATTCCTGAAGGACCGGCCTGTGGCTGTTTTACAATTAACTTTCATTTCTTTAAGTAGAAGCACACTCTAAAACAAGGATAAAAAGTATAGTATAGTAAATATATAAACCAGTAATATAGTTATTCATTATCATTATCAAGTAGTATATACTATACATAATTGTATGTGCTATGCTATGACATCATTAGATCACAGAAATTTTTAGTGCTATTATAATGTTATAGAACCATCATCATATATGCAATCTGTCATTGACCCAAATATTGTTATGGGGCACAACACTGTATATAAAACTATACACACACACACACACACACACACACACACACACACACACACTCATCTATAGCTATATACATATAACTGTAACTAGTTACATATATCATGTGTATTATATAGAGAGAGTTATAATTATCCATGCTCTGTGTTCTAACAATTTACACTCAGTAAGTTAATTATATAAATTTCTGTCTCATCACTATATTATTTATTTTGCTGACCACTGGTGGACATCCATACATCTACCTGTGTGGGTATGCATGCACATATGTTTGTGTTTCTCTGAATAATGGTAAACAAATGCAGATAGTTGTAATCATTAGACATGGTGATATGGTTTGGCTGTGTCCCCACCCAAATCTCATCTTGAACTGTAGCTCTCATGACCCCCATGTGTTGTGGGAGGGGCCCAGTGAGAGGCAATTGAATCATGGGGACAGGTCTTTCCTGTGCTGTTCTCGTGATAGTGAATAAGTCTCAGGAGACCTGATGGTTTTATAAAGAGGAGTTCCCCTGCACATTGTCTCTCTTGCCTGCTGCCATGTAAGACATCCCTTTGCTCTTCCTTCATCTTCTGCGGTGATTGTGAGACCTCCCCAGCCATGTGGAACTGTGAGTTCATTAAAACCCTTTCCTTTATAAATTACCCAGTCTCGGGTATGTCTTTATTAGCAGCACGAGAACAGACCAATACACACAGTTTAGAGACAAGCATTAACTCTTGGAAAGGTGTCACTAAGGTGACATAAGTTGCTTTTCATAATGTGCAAAATTATTTCTATTTTACTTCGCCCAGCCTAATTAAATCCTCTCCCTCTTGTGGTACTAGAAGTAGCGTCAATAGCATCTCCTACCTGGAGCTCTAGAGCATTAAGCTAAGGGGAGTAGCCAAGTTGAGAGTGCAGAGGCCTGAATGAGATCTGACAAGTGAAGGAATTGCATGCTTTGAGTAGGCAAATTAAGAAAACCTTAAGATAGGCTTGAAGGAGTGCAGTATAAAGCAAAGGGCTTCAAGTCCTGAGAGTATCAAGGGAAAAAATAAGTCAAAATGGATGAGGATGAGGGCATAACAATCTGGAAGAATATTGGTAATAAGATGCCTTTAACCTTGGATCAGTTTTCCTTTTCCTTCAGCAGGTGGAAGTGTGGGTAGTTTTCAACAGTGCCTTAATTGACCCTGACTGTATCTACCACCTTTGATAATGGAAAGTTGTCTGCATTAGGCTTCCTTGCTTTTATATTATAACCAAAGAATCTATGCAAAGATGCCCAACTATGGAAGAGACTCAACATATTTAGCAATTATTGGGTATGACCTCCTAGGATTTGCTTCTGAAGAATCACATCAAGTGGTCCAGAATAGAGCCTTTAAATGCTTTTTTGAAATCCCCAAAGTAGAAGGGCAAGATGGCTAACTAGACACAGTCAGGAGGAGCATCTGTCACGGAGGGACAGAGACATCGGGGAGACTGGTGCACTCCTAGTGGATCTTCAGAAGGAAGGCAATGAGAGTGGACAGAGGGAAGACACACATGCTGGGCTGAAGGGGGAGGAAGCTGGAAACCTTGCACAGGGCTACTGTGTACCAGGATTCCTTCCTGGCCCCAAATGACTCCTGGGGAAGGGGTGAGTTACACAGGAAAGGAGCAACCTGCGCTCGCCAAAGGCCTCTGGAATCCTGGCAGAAGGAGATCCCACAACCACCACAGACATTTGAGTAGGCAGGGAGAGCTGCTTAGAGAAGAGGTAGGGGCAGAACTCCAGCCGGCACACAGCCCAGAGAGGTTAGTGCAAGAGTGTCTGTAGTAGAGCATGGCCAGGGACACTGATCCCCCTGGGCTTGACTTGCTCTTATAGATTTCAGCCTTAAGGAATGGTCAGACCTGAATACTGCAGGGCAGTCTTGCTGATGAGATGGGGCCAATCAGACCTGAGCACCCCTTGGTCTGCTTGCCACTCCAGGGGCCCCAGCCTGTTCACGCAGGCTTGGATGCCAGGGGGGATACCTCCTAGGAGACTGAATCATAGCTCCTACTCTGGTGAGCTGTGCCTGACTGGCAGACAGCTCCAGCAGAGCGACCCCCACATACATGTACTAGCCTGCCCATGCCTGCCCTACTGAAGCCTCCCCTGAACCACTTTGCCTGCATATGCTCTCCCACAGCCACCTCCCACATCACTTCGCCAGTGCGTTTGCACACGGGCAGACTTGACTCTCCTTCCCTGCCAGCACGCATGCGCATGTGCACGCTGGTGTGTCACTGCTGCCAGCATGAGTGCACCTCAACTCCCCTTTCCCCACCACACTGCTATTGCCATTCGAGTGTTGGAGGGAACAGGACCCACAGGTACCCTGTTCCTGCACCAATACTGCCGTGGGTACAAAACTAGGCACAGGAAACAGCAGACTTGCCCCCGGCCTGAGCAGCCATCATCACCCAGATGAACGTGCACAGAGGGTGCACACAGTCCTGTGCCCACCAGTGCACTGCCCCCATGCTAACACCACCACCAGCATGAAAACATGCATAGTTGCCAGCATGGTCCCCCTTCCCCCTAGAGCCAGGCTCCCCCTGCTACTGCTGCAAATGCCCACATAGAGGCTGCCAGCCTGGCACCCACTAGCATCCTGCCACTGCTGACAAACGGGCACCCCACTGCACTGCTACTGCCACTGCTGCTGACATGTGCAAACAAGAATGTATCCTTCTGTCACTCCCCTACCAAATGCTTTGGCTGGCACCACCCACTTGAAGTGTTGTGACCAGTGGTCCGCAAACACCTTGACCCCTCAAGCACAGTAGGTTCTTAACATCGAGGACCCAGAGAACAAAGCCGGGGCCCAAAACAACTTCCCCATAGATAGAGCGTGCAGTCTAGGAGTCCTGAGCTGAGCCTTGCCCCCCTAAAAACTTCCAGAAATGAAGCCAGTCAACTAAACCCACCTTATAACACACTCAGACTCCCAAGGTCATCAAATAGAATTACAAAGAAAAAACATCCAAATGAGAGCAACTTCAAAGATTGAAAGAACATCAGTCCACAAAGATGAGAAAGAACCAGCGCAAGAATTCTGACACCTCAAAAAGCCAGAGTGCCTTCTTTCCTCCAAACAATGACACTAGTTCTCCAGCAAGAGTTCTTAACCAGGCTGAGATATCTGAACTGACAGAAATAGAATTCAGAAAATAGATAAGAACAAAGATCATCAAGATTCAGGAGAAGGTTGAAACCCAGTCTAAGGAAGATAAGAATCACAATAAAATGATACAATAACTGGCAGACAAAATAGCCAGTATAGAAAAGAATGTAACTGCCCTGATAGAAACACACTACCAGAATTTTAAAATGTGATCACAAATATTAACAATAGAATAGATCAAACTGGGGAAAGAATCTCAGAACTTAAAGAGTGGCTTTCTGAAATAAGGCAGTCAGACAAGAATAAAAAATAGAGAATGAAAAGGAATGAACAAAATCTCTGAGAAATATGAGATTATGTAAAGAAAGCAAACCTATGACTCATTGATGTCCCTGAAAGAGATGGGGAGAATGGAAGCAACTTGGAAAACATTTCAGAATATCATCTTTGACAACTTCCCCAACCTAGCTAGAGAGGCCAATATTCAAATTCAGGAAATGCAGAGAACCCTTGCGAGATACTTTACAAGAAGATGATCCCCAAGACACAGAATCGTCAGATTCTCCAAGGTAAAAATGAAAGAAGAAAATGTTGAAGACACCTAGAGAGAAAGGAGACGTCACCTAAAAAAGGAAACCCATTGGACTAACAGCAGACCTCTCAGCAGAAACCCTGTAAGCCAGAAGAGATTGGGGGCCTGTGTCCAGCATTCTTAAAGAAAAGGAATTCCAGCCAAGAATTTTATGTCCGGCCAAACTAAGCTTCAAAAGCAAAGAAGAAACAAGAGCCTTAACAGACAAGAAAATGCTGAGAGAATTAATTACCACCAGACCTGCCTTACAGGAGCTCCTCAAAGAAGCACTAAATATGGAAAGGAAAGACCATTACCAGCCACTACAAAAGCACACTTAAGTACACAGAACAGTGACACTATAAAGCAATCACAAAAACAAGTCTGCATAATAACTATCAAGCCATATGATGACAGGATCAATTTCGCGCATATTAATATTAACTTTGAATGTAAATGGGCTAAATGCCCCCAATTAAAAAGCACAGAGTGACAATCTGGATAAAGAAGCAAGGCTCAGCATACCATTGGGCCTTGCTTCTTCATCCAGATTGTCACTCTGTGCCTTTTCTCACCCATCTCACATGCAGTTACACTCATAGGCTCAAAATAAAGGCATGGAGAAAAATCTACCAAGAAAACAGAAAACAAAAAAGCAGGAGTTGCAATCTTAATTTCATATGAAAAAGACTTGAAACCAACAAAGATCAAAGAAGACAAATAATGTTATTACACAATGGTAAAGGGTTCAATTTAACAAGAAGACATAACTATCCTAAATACATATGCACCTGGATCACCCATATTGATAAAGCAAGTTCTTAGAGACCTTCAAAGAGACTTGGACTCCCACACAATAATAGTGGGAGTCTTCCACACATGACAGACAGTATTAGAGAGATCATCAAGGCAGAAAACAAAGATATTCAGGACTGGAACTCAACACTGGATTAAATGGACCTGATAGACATCTACAGGTCTCTCCACTCCAAAACAACTGAAGACACATTCTTCTCATTGCCACATGGCAAATACTCTAAAATAGACTAAATAATTGGACATAAAACAATCCTCAGCAAATGAAAAAGACCCAAAATCTACCAACCACTCTCTGAGACCACAATGCAATAAAAATAGAAATCAAGACGAAGAAAGTAGCTCAAAATCACATAGTTACATGGAAGTTAAACAATCTGCTCCTGAATGACTTTTGGGTAAATAATGAAATTAAGGCAGAAATCAAGTTCTTTGAAAATAATAAGAACAAAGATACAACATACCAGAATCTTTCATCCACAGCTAAGTCAGTGTTAAAAAGGAAATTTATACCACTAGACACCCACATGAAAATGTAAGAAAGATCTCAAATTAACAAGCTAACATTCCAACTAAAAACACTAGAAAAGCAAGAGCAAACCAACCCCAAAGCTAGCAAGAGAAAATGACCAAAATCAGAGCTGAACTGAGGGAGATTAAGACATGAAAAATCATTCAAAAGGTCAACAAGTCAGGAGTTTGTGTTTTGAATAAATTAATAAGATAGATAGACAGCTAGCTAGACTAATAAAGAAGAAAAGAGAAAAAATCTAAATAAACACAATCAGAAGCAACAAGGAGGATATTACCAGTGACCCCACCAAAATACAAATAACCATCAAAAACTACTATGAACACTGCTATGCACACTAACTAGAAAACCTGGAAGAAATGGATAAATTCCTGAACAGTACACACACCCTCCCAAGAATGAACCAAGGTGAATTTGAATCCCTGAACATACCAATAACAAGCTTCAAAATTGAATCTGTAATAAATAGCCTATCAACCAAAGACACCCAAATTCTACCAGATGTACAAAGAAGAGTTAGAACTGTTCCTATGAAACATTCCAAATAATTGAGGCAGAGGGACTCCTCCCCATCTCGTTTTATGAGGCCAGCATTATCCTGACACCAAAATCTAGCAGAGACACACACACAAAAAGAAAATTTCAGGTCAATATCTTTGATGAACACTGATGCAAAAATCCTCACCAATAATGCTAGCAAACTGAATCCAGCAGCACGTTAAAAAGCTAATCCACCACAATCAAGTAGGCGTTATCCCTGGGATCCAAGTTTGATTCAACATATGCAAACCAATAAATGTGATTCATCACATAAGCAGAACTAAAGACAAAAACTACATGATTATCTCAATAGATTCACAAAAGTTTTTTTATAAAATTCAACATTCGTTCATGTTAAAAACTCTCAATAAACTAGGTATTGAAGAAATATATGTCAATATAATAAGAGCCATAGATGACAAACCCACGGCCGGCTTCTTACTGAATGTGGAAAAGTTGGAAGCATTACTTGTGATAACCAGCACAAGATAAAGATGCCCTCCCTCACCACGCCTATTCAAGATAATATTGAAAGTCCTTGCCAGAGTATTCAGATAAGAGAAGGAAAGAAAGGACATCCAAATAGGAAGAGAGGATGTCAAATTTTCCCTGTTTGCAGATGACATGATTTGATATCTAGAAATATCCATAGTCTCAGAACAAAAGCTTCTTAAGCTGATAAACAACTTCAGTAGTTTCAGGATACAAAATCAACGTAGAAAAATCTCTAGCATTCCCATATACCAACAACAGCCAAGCCAAGAGCAAAATGACGAATGCAATCACATTCACAATTGCCACAAAAAGAATAAAACACCTAGGAATACAGCTAACCAGGGAGGTAAATGATCTCTACAATAACAATTACAAAATACTGCTCAAGGAAATCAGAGATGACACAAACAAATGGAAAAGCATTTCATGCTCGTGGATAGGAAGAATCAATATAGTTAAAATGGCCATACTTCCCAAAACAATTTACAGATTCAATGCTATTCCTATTATATTACCAATGACATTCTTCATAGAACTAGAAAAAAACTATTTTAAAATTAATATGGAATGCAAAATGATCCCAAATAGCTAAGGCAATCCTAAGCAAAAAGAACAAAGCTGGAGGCATCCCATTACCCAACTTCAAATTATATTACAGGGCTATAGTAACCAAAACAGCATGGTACAGGCACAAAAACAGACACATAGACCAGTGGAACAGAAGAGAGAGCCCAGAAATAAGGCCATACACCTACAACCATCTGATCTTTGACAAAGCTGACAAAAACACGCAATGGGGAAAAGACTCCCTATTCAATAAATAATGCCAGGATAACTGGCTAGCCATATGCAGAAGATTGAACCTGGACCCCTTCCTTACGACATACACAAAAATAAACTCGAGATGGATTGAGGACTTAAATGTAAAACCCAAAACTATGAAAACCCTGGAAGACAACCTAGGCAATACCATTCTGAACATAGGAACTGACAAAGATTTCATGACAAAGACAGCAAAAGAAACTGCAAGAAAAGCAAAAATTGACAAATGGGATCTAATTAAACTAAAGAGCTTCTGCACAGCAAAAGAAACTATCAACAGAGTAAATAGAAAACCTACAGAATGGGAGAATTGTTTTTCAAACTATTCATCTGACAAAAGTCGAATATGCAGCATTGTAAGATAATTAAACAGATATGCAGAAAAAAAGCATTAAAAAGTGGGCAAAGGACATGAACACTTTTCAAAAGAAGACATGTGTGGCCAAGAAGCATATGAAAAAAGCTCAATATCACTCATTGTTAGAGAAATACAAATCAAAACCACACTGAGATATCATCTCACACCAGTCAGAATGGCTATTATTAAAAAGTTAAAAAATAACAGATGCCGGTGATGTTGCAGAGAAAGAGAACACTTATACACTGTTTCTAGGAGTGTAAATCAGTTCAACCATTGTGGAAAGTAGTGTGATGATTCCTCAAACAGCTGAAAACCGAATTGCCATTTGACCCAGCAATTCCATTACTGGGTATATAACCAAAGGAAGTAAATCATTCTACCATAAAGACACATGCATGTGAATGTTCATTGCAGCACTATTCACAATAACAAAGACATGGAATCAACCTAAATGCCCATCAGTGACAGATTAGACAAAGAAAACATGGTACATATATATCATGGAATATTATGCAACCATATAAAAGAACAAGATTATGTCTTTTGTGACAACATGCATGGAGCTGGAGGCTATCATCCTAAGCAAACTAATGCGGAAACAGAATATCAAACACTGCATGTTCTCACTTATAAATGGGAGCTAAATGATGAGAACACGTGGACACATAGAGAGGAACAAGGCACACTGGGGCCTACTGGAGAGTGAAGAGTGGGAGGAGGCAGAGGATCAGAAAAAAAAAATCTGTTGGGTACTAGGGTTAATACCTGGGTGACGAAATAATCTGTACAATAAATCCCCATGATGCAAGTTTACCTATATAACAAACCTTTATGTGTACCCCTGAACCTAAAATCAAAGTTTTATTAAATAAGAAAATCCTCAAAGTCTCATAATATTGAAACTATCTCTACATCTCTACTCTGTGTTATTTTAGAAACAACATATCCCAAGTATTAAAGCTTTACAACATACCTCCCAAATTAATTTTCAAGGTCCCAGGGAGAGAAGAGTGTATTCAGAACTAAGGTCGAGAAATTACAAATTTTTTTGATAAACAACTCACTTAACTGGCCATGCAATCAAACATTTTGTCCTGAGAAATTAAGCATATTTCAGAAAATGCTTTCATATAATCTTAAATATGTTTTTGTAAGGACAGTTTATGATGTTCTCCCCTAAGGATGCATTCCTCAGAACATATCTCCATCGTTAACTAACACATGACTATATGTGTGTGTGATATATATACCACACACACACACACACACACACACAGAGAGAGAGAGAGAGAGAGAGAGAGAGACAGAGAGCCTCCACGTGCATGCAAGAGAGATTGGTATGTTCAAAAAGTTTTAGAAGTGATTAAACTTAACCATTTGAGGAAAAGTAGCAAGTCTAAAATTAAATTATCTTTGGAAACTCCTTAAGTTGCCTCCAAAAGTACAGTTCAGCACGTCTTTCAGTAATTCCAGCATAGCTAGTTTTTCCTTCAGTGTTGATGTGGATTGTTTCTTCATTTGGTCATCAGATAAATTAATTGGCTTGTCTTTAAGGCCTATATTAGCAGTCAGGGTTCTCCAGATAAACAAAACTAATAGGGTGGTGAGAGAGACAGAGGCAGAGAGAGAGAGAGAGAGAGAGAGATTGTGATTCATTGTAATGAATTGGCTTATGCAATTATCGAGGCTGACAAGTCCCAAGAGCTGCGATCAGCAATCTGGGGACCCAAGAAAACCAATGATGTAGATTCAGTTGGAGTCTAATGGCCTGAGAAACAGGAAAGTTGGTGGATGGTTAAGTTCCAGTCTGAATGCCAGCAAGCTCGAGATCCAGAAAAAGCTAATAATGTTTTAGATCAAGTTTGGAGGCATGACACAAAGATGTCCCAGCTCAAGGCAGGAGAAACTCCCTCTCACTCAAGGAAGGGTTGGCCTTTTATTTTATTCAGGCCTTTAACTGATTGCACGAGGACCACCCACATTAGGAAGGGCCATCAACCTAGCCATTCAAATGTTAATCTCATCCAAACCACCCTAACAGGCACACTCAAAATAGTGTTGGACCAAATACCTGGGCACCCAACGGCCCAGTGAAGTTGACCCATAAAATTAACTATTGCAGGGACGATGTTGAGTAAAAATGAAGAATCTTTTAAACTCTTGAATCACACTCTGCACAGAGAGATACGCGTGTTTCAAAAGTCACAGCACTAAGATTCCGAAAATATTCGACTCAGGTGCACCATCTACTGAGTTCATTCTGGGGACATAGGCTTGCAAAGTTTACTTATGAAGTAAAATGTCATGAAGATTTACCCTCATCATTTTAATTATTCTTGTTTTCTTCTGTTCATTCTTTCATTCCCTCTCCCTCTCCTCCTCCCCCTGTCACCCACCATCCCTCCCTCTTTCTCTCTTCCCAGCCCACATGTTTACAATTTAAGTTAAATGCACATATGGTACATCCTTGCTATGTATGCTTCTCCCATTTCTTGCTATTGCAACAGGATGTTGAATGGATCTTTTCTGTACGACTTTAGAACTTTTGGTTAATGGTTAATGCGCCAAATCTGAGGACATTGGGTAATAAATAACTCCACCTTCTAAAGAGTATTTGCTAGACACGTTCCCATAAGGCTTACCAAAGTGTGGCTAACAGGTCTTGCAAGCCTGCTCATTGCTACCAGCCTGTAGAGAGAGAAGACTAGAAATTTCTGAATTCATTAAATTAGGTGCATCCATTTAAGTGGGGGAGAATTAATAGCAGGAAGAGGTAGGCCTGTTGGTGCGGGGGTATGGTTTTACACTTTTCCTTCCTCGATCCTCAGCCCAGGAAAAGGGCTCTAAGACAAACACTTAGAACCGTTGGGGCTGTCTGCAACTGGGGAGGCTTATATATGATTCCCTGGCTGGATGTTTGCTAAGCTACAAGAAGCATCACCCCTTGCCCCCACGTTGACATCAGAGTGAAACATAATAGAATAATTCTCGGGAAACTTGATACGTGTCTTTAAAAATGTGAACATAGACACTTGTGTTTGCTTCTCACCTGAATGTTGTTTGGCACTGCTTGTAGTGGCAGGATGAAAAGAGAGTGTCAGTGGGGCAGCCTTCACTTTTCCTACTTGGCATTTCAAGAATTTGGAGTATTCTTCCCAAACTAGTAGATGCCATAGAAGGGAGCCAGGCTTGAGCCATCTTGCTTCTTATCACAGTCTTCTACGGAAATGGGACCCGGGATATAGTGTCATGGGGAAGAACTGAGTGGGTTCACAATGTTTTTGCCAGAGTATACTTTGCTCACATTTTAAGGAACCATGTAGTGCTGAAGACCCTACAGTCAATTTTCTGAACAGTCTATAAATGTTTCCAAAAAGGAACTAGCATTTGGGTCACTAGCCACACAAGGAATTTACAGCTAAATAAATAGTCATTCCTCCTTTCTCTCAACCACCTCTCTCAACCTGATCCTGGGGAAAACTGGAAAATAACAAATGAAAAGCAAATAACTGAGGCTACTTCTCCATCTCAGTTTCAGGTGCCTAAGCCACAGGTCAGGCCTGAACTTGGAGAGGGGGATGAGTGCAGGAAATAGAAGTTTTGTATTGGAAGTGAGATTGAAGTTTTGATTTGGACTGGGATGGACATTCAAATCCCTGAAAACGTGTCATGAGGCTTTTTGTAGGTGTAACTATGTAGGAAAAAACAATTCTATGGAAGCTATGCTTTCAGTGGTGGGGCAGGGAGATCCATAAAAGCAGGGTAGGGAATAGTGCTGGAAGAAGAATGAAGTCATTTCCTATTTGTGCCTTACCAATTTCAGTCCATTCAATAAACTGGTATCAGTTTTGTAGTAAGGTCTGAAGTATATCAGGGGATGGGAGAGGTTTGTGAGAGAAACTGACTGTAGTCTGTCACTCTGATTTACTGGGGGAACATTATTCAGAGTGAGAATCCATTTCAGCCAGTCTGGAGAGTAGGCTTCATCATTTAGATGCACTTTTAGGGAAATTATTTTCCAGCCTCTTTGAAAAACCATTATCCAAAGTTTAGATTACTTTTGGGGAATATTATTGGATTACAGTCTTTGAACAATGGCTATGACACATGGTCTGAGATTTGCTGTGAGTTGATGGAATGCCTGTGAGGTCCCACCATTGAGATCATTCATGCCATCCAAGCAAACAGCCCTTAGAGTCTAAAGCAGAATACTTTAGTGCCCTTGGAGGCTTTCAGGTGAGGAACAAGAGATCTGGAGGACATAGTGCTGGTTGGTGGGTCAGAGTACAGAGCTGGGTTCAGCCTCCAGAAAAAGCAGCCTAGGTCAGGCTCTGCATTCTTTTAGGTCCTCAGCAGGTGTGGATTATGATAAAGCTCCAAATGCAATAAGAAAAATGAATTATTTATCTGGAAAAGAAGTGGAAGTGAAGCCAACTGGACTCTGCAAGCAAGGGTGTAAAGGAAATGTTTTGGTTTAATATTGATACATCTTGAACAAGACACAGCCATGATTGCCAGATTAGGGCAACTAGGACAGCAAGACTGGGGAATATGGGCTCTTAGGGAAGTACCAGAAATGGTCAAGATTGACTCAGGTGTAATCCCAGTTGCACCTGCAGATATCAGCTGATGAGGGCTTGAGAGAGATGGAGCTGAATAGCCATGGGGTTTCTGTCTGAGTGCATTATCCACCACTCTCACTCTCTCATCTTCTTACTCCCTCTTCCACAGGCAAGCGAAAGTGACCTAAGATGATGTGGAAGTTCTTAAGAAACGCCTGGACCTGGAAAGCCTAGTCCCTTTTCCTGTGTTTCTCTAGGAAGAAAGATGCTGCAGTAGGCTTTGTGTGAGTAGGTGTTTTTTTCTCTTTTTGAGGGAAGAGGCTAAATTTTCTATGTGAGTTGTCATTCTGTGTTAACAGGCACAGTGTCCTTAAGAGACTGAGGCAATCCATCAACTGGCTAAATACAGCAGGGGTTGGGAACCCTTGATCACCATGGGATTTTGTGGCACTCCCACTATCCCCCATCCAAACCCATAACTTTGAAAATCATAAAACTGGGGGGAACATTTTGGACTTTGGCATGATGCAGAATGGCATCTCAAGCTGATCTTATCCAGCTCTTAATGTGAAAGAGAACCTTAGTTGGTATGGGAGGTGCATATAATATTATTATTTGCAAAATCATTCTTTCAAATAGAATACTTAAAAATGCTTTTTCATCATTTTCATAGGGGAGGATTGAGAGTAACTATTTCCAACTCTTTCACAGGAATGACAACTAATGTGGTACTCTTGTGATAATTACAGTAAAATGATCTGATTTCATGCTGGTGCTGGATGATACTTTTCACTTGTCTGAGATCAGCCTGTCATTGATTTCCATATGAAAAAAGAATATGAAACACATAATTCATATACATGTTTGGCACACCGTTAAGTATATGGTTAATACGTATTGAATTAAATTCAGTTGGAATTTAGAAGTTATTACATGACCAATAGTATATAATTCACAGAGGCATGTGACATAAATTAAGCATTTATGGGTGGAAATGTGGTTCATTGCTTGTGGTTATCACACATATAATCAATATAGATAGATACAGATACGGTGAGAAATTATGTGACATCTGTTGTCAGTGTTTTTGGTTTGGTTTGGCCAAGAAGGCATTTGTGGGACTATTTGTTTCTTAGGAGGGGCCTAAAATTCAAGTTTTCTGCCTGAAGGTGACCAGTGATCTTCAGAGACATTTATCTTTGGCAGGAAACCAGCAAGCTTCCATTCAGACATTCATACTTCTTTCAGATCTTTCTTTATCTTCCTTCTTACACGTCATCCAAGGAATCACTATGATTGTCCTTCCAAGTGCCAGCTGATATTTTCGGCTTCCTGTCTCTTTGCCCAAGGGAAAAAATGCTGATTTCCTCTTTGCTATTTGGCAAATGTCAAAAGAAAAAGACTGGCTACGCTATGTATTCCTTTCAGCAGCATGAATGGACATCCTGTATTTTTTCTCCAAAGAAGATTTAACTAGCTAAAACTTAATTAGCCTAAACTCAAAGAGTTTTTCCTATTATTTCTCTATTGCTTCTCCTTCATTTGTTCCTTTCTGTTTCAAGAATTCCAATCCTATGTACTTAAGAATTTCACGGCCTTTACATCTTTGCATATTGTGTTTCTATCTCTTCAACCTTTTCTCTGGGTTTCAGGAGAAATTTTTAAATTCTTCTATTTTACAGATTTCGTTTTCTGTAATAATCTGTCTACTGTTCATTGCCTTGATGGTACTGGTTTTTTTTCATTCTGTAATTGCATATTTTATGTAAAAGCCATCTTGCGTGATTTCTCGTTGCTTTGTTTTAATCTATAAAATGTTCTCTTAAAACTCTTGGAGAATACAAATTATAATTTTTCTAATGTTTCCTTCAGTTCCATAGATGAAGTCTATTTCAGTGGTAGAAGTCTACCCTTATTCCTTGAACTAGTCTTTTTCTTCTGGACTACTGAATCTTTTCATATTGTTGAATATTTCATATTGGTGAATTGTTCTGTTTTCACATCCTAACCATGCAGTTGCTACTGAGTTTTGCTAGTTAGTACACATAATTTATTTTTGAAAAGAAAAGTGAAAGTTTGACATTTTTAAAGTTTCGTTTTGCTAGATTGAGGATCAAGTTCGTTGTAAATAAACGTGGAGAGGATTCCTGCAGATAGTGCTGCGCGCAGCAGTTTCTCTCCACGTTTTTGGTGGTAGCTTAAAGTTAGCTTGAAGACTGACCTCTTTGAAAATTGTCGTTGCTGCCTATCATGACCTGTTACAGCACTGGCCTCTCTCTTTTTAGCACATCGCCCCTGCTAGGGGTATTACGTAGGCGAGTGAATACTCCAGTTGTCACTTAGTGGTCTGGTGCTGGAGTAGTTCTCAGATCATTGTATTGTCCCCTTCCCCCACTGACCCATAGGTCCAGGGTCTTACTTACATTCACTTCCACAGGGGTCATGGGAATTCGAAGAAGGTCTGCTCAGGGATACCGTCTATTTACCTCTCATCTGGGTTTTTCATTCTTATGTGGAAGAACAACAGAATAATATAGCCCTAGACCTTCTCCTATCCATACCACACCCTTCGGAATGTTGCGATTCTTGCCTGTTGATGGGATCCTTCTGTTTTCCAGTAATAGTTTAAATTTTTATTTTTATATTTATGTGATTATTTTAATTAACAGGAGTGTTCAGTGCAGCATTGCTCTTTTATAGTGAACAGTCGAAAACTAGCAAAAAGTTAAATAGTTTGTATCCACTAAATACGAGACCATTCAAATTAATGTAAATCCACACTTGTTTCTAAGTGAAGAAAAAGTTACAACATTTATTGGATAGCATGATAACCATTTTATAAAATTAAATTACATGTAAGCAGAGAAAGAAAGATCTTGCCGTCCGTTGAAGTCATTCTAGCATTTAGGATTTGAAAAAAAAAAAAAATGTGTTGATCTGCCATCCCAAGTCCTGTGGGAAGTCTAGTATTTCCCCAATATTTTTGGGAATTCCTGACAATTTATATTCTCATGATCACTTCTGATTCAAAATCTGTGCTTCTTTTTAATTCTTGTGCTTCTCTTCCTCTTCCTGAAACTTGGTCACTATTCCTTTATTTCATTTTCCCAAACCATTTCTTTATTCATTCAACAAATATTGAATGAATTAAAAAAATTACTTTGTTAATGGTTGGGTCTTTATGTTCATTCTAAGATAGTTTATTGTTGTTAAGGAGGAGTTTCCCACTCTCATGGAGATTACATTTTCAACCAAGGCATTTGTAGATATGTTGCTGATGACTTGAGTGAATTCAGGGGCAGCTATTTAACACCCTTGTTCTTGAAATTCCTCTGCCTATTCTTTCACAAAGAATTCCTTACAGCCCCCTTCCCTTGAAGGTGCCACCTTCCTACCAGCCTGCTCAACTTTCAATTTCTTCACTTTATCTCTCATCGAATCCCTGTCCTTTATTTATTTTTTTTCCCAGAATAGTTTTTTTATTTCATTTCCTTCCTCTAATCACATGCATGGGACCTCATCATTCTCATCCTCAAGTACTTATTAAGGCATTTACCTAATCAGATACAGTCCGTTTCCTAAAAAGAACTCTCTCTAGTATTAGCTGTTAAAGTAATTCACTTTACTACTTCACTGAATGTTTTTGTAAGTCTAGAGAAATATATAAATTGTGACATCCAAATGGATGATATCATCTCAGGGCTCTGGGATTAGGGGTGATTTTCTTCCTTACTTCATTATTCATAATCTGAATTTTCTATTTTCCAATATAAATTTATATTACAAAAAAAATCTTTAAAAGCAAACAAGAAACCTTACTAAAACCCTCAATCTCTTCAGTTTACGTAATTAAAAACAGAATATAGTTGATCTCAACTTATCATTTCAGGTTCTCAAACTTTTCTGACAAGCATCTTATTTGTAAATCAAATAAGTTTCCTGAAAAGGGGACTGTAGTATATATTTTAAAACTAATTTCAACAACGTTCTTTAAAATAAGCACACAATTTGGGTATATACATATTACTAGCCAAAGAAAGGGTAGATTAAAACATGAAAGTGTTTTAATTTGGGGGGATGAATAGGGATTTACTGTAAATCTTTCTGTATGGTTTACATTTTTATCATCAGATGTATGTATTACTTTTATTTTAAAAGTTGAAAAGATAGAGGGCAGAGAAATGGGGGTTGAATAGAGGGCAGAGAAATGGGGGTTGAAAAGATGGAAATAAAACTTGAAAAGAAATGCATACACCAAATATAAAGCTTCTCTAGAGCCTTTCCATTTATTTTCTGTTAGAAAACATCCTTCATAGGTGATTTTGAGGAAAATCCTGGTTGACTGTGTTACAGAGTAGTACTTTACCCGACCTCGATTAATCACACTATAGTAAAAAAGAGAGTCTGCTACTGACAGACAAGACGAGCTGGATTTCCTAAGCCGACTAAGAATCCCTAAGCCTAGCTGGGAAGGTGACCACATCCACCTTTAGACACGGGGCTTGCAACTTAGCTCACACCCGACCAATCAGGTAGTAAAGAGAGCTCACTAAAATGCTAATTAGGCAAAAACAGGAGGTAAAGAAAGAGCCAATCATTTATCGCCTGAGAGCACAGTGGGAGGGACAATGATCGGGATATAAACCCAGGCATTCTAGCCAGCAACGGCTACCCTCTTTGGGTCCCCTCCCTTTGTAATGGAGCTCTGTTTTCACCCTATTAAATCTTGCAGCTGCACACTCTTCTGGTCCATGTTTGTTACTGCTTGAGCTGAGCTTTCGCTTGCTGTCCACCACTACTGTTTGCTGCTGTTGCAGTTGCAGACCCGCCGCTGACTTCCATCCCTCCAGATACGGCAGGGTGTCCGCTGTGCTCCTGTTGCCACTCCTGATTGGGCTAAAGGCTCGCCATTGTTCCTGCACGGCTAAGTGCCCGGGTTCATCCTAATTGAGCTGAACACTAGTCACTGGGTTCCACGGTTCTCTTCTGTGACCCACGGCTTCTAAGAGAGCTGTAACACTCACTGCATGGCCCAAGACTCCATTCCTTGGAATCCGTGAGGCTAAGAACCCCAGGTCAGAGAACATGAGGCTTGCCACCATCTTGGAAGAGGCCTGCCGCCATCTTGGAAGCAGCCCGCCACCATCTTGGGAGCTCTGGGAGCAAGGACCCCCACAGTAACACTGCTAAGTAGTTACATGACCTTAAGCAAGTCATTTCATCTAATACATATTTTGTGATCTTCAAAATGAGGGATTTGGACTATGTTGTGAATTATAAATCCCAAGTCCAACATTTTTATGACTCCATTTAAAATTAATTAAAACATCTAGAATAAAAGATGAAGAAGGATAAGTGTCAGTGGATAAAGATGCAAATAGCTGGTTCTGTAAGTAGAAAACAAGGGTCCATTCCACTGAGAAAAAATTGTTAAAGGCCTATACCTGCTTTGACAACCTTGTAACATACAGAGCGCAGAACTGACACTATCTTAATTCTTCATTGCCAAGCATTTTCTATATAGATTGTGATTTTTTTTTCCGATGGCAAAAAGTGATCTCATTTTATAGAATGTGTAAGCTATTTGGTTTCCAACCAACTGTGCTGAGTGCATCTACTCTGTAGAGAGAAGGATGCTGGAACCTAGATGTATAAAGCACTGATCTATAAAGCACTTTATAGGTGCTTTATAGGATACTGGAACCTAGATGTATAAAGAACCCTGGGCTAATCCCTGGTAATGACTGACCCAAAGGTGCCTCAAGGAAATGTCAGGCACTTTGCAAAGCCACACTTCATCCTTCAGATCAATTTGAAAAATACTACGTTGCTTTAATTCTTGAAACAATGTCCCTAGCAAGATGAAAGAGTGCTACTTCTCTAAGTGCGTGGATTTGGCAATAAAATATCTGGCCCTTCTTGTACCCAAATTAAAACTAACGTTTTTATAGTCCTATCACTTTTATGAACATAACGCAAGACAACTTCCTCTGCTTCAGTACAAGGATACGGAACTCGAATCTGTAATATAAATGAGGCTTTAGGAATCTGGTTTCAATAAAATTCTATTCTTCTTATTGAAAATTACAAAGTACCCCCAAAACAGTGGAGGCGACAGTTTTATAAAAATGAGTACCTACCATTCTGGCCAACTGAATTCAAAAGGTTTCCCCCTGTCCAAGAGAGAGGAGCAAACTCTTAAGAGAAAGGATTATAGTATTTATCGGGTCCAGGTTTGTTGCTGTCATTTCACTCTTAGTTCCTTAAGCCAGGTTTCCCCTATTGCCTCTTCCATATGACACTCACTGTGAGTTCTTCAGGCCATTTTCAAATGTCTACTAAATGTATTGTTCCAAGTATGCTCGAAGGATCTAAATCATAATGCCCTCATTCTGTCATATTTATTTAAATGTATATTGGTGTGTAGGCTTATTTTATTATTAAAAAAGATATCACCCTTTTTGCTCTGTCTAATCTAAACAATCTTTAACTGTGTCAAGCAAGGAATTAATTAGTTTTATATTTCTCATGTTAATTTCTCCGGCTTTCCCAGTTAGTTCCAATGGAGGTTTGTTTTATTAGCTTAATAACACTTTTTTTCCTTCTGTGCTACTAAGATTTTTCATAAAAAATTTAAGGATTTCATATGGGGCTGAATAAATAGAAAATAATTGAATGACAAGGCTGATAATATGGGCCTCTCCAGGTACCCAGCTGTTGTAACCCCATCAAGTCTGTAAGGAGTACTGGCTCTGTCCCGCGTGTGCCATGGCATCTTGGCAATGGACCGATCTGGTATCAAGACAGTCATCTCTGCATGAGCACAGAAGGGTAGGAGGAGAATGCAGGCAAGTGGACTATTTATTTAAAGGCAAAATTTCAAGGGGCTGACCTACCACATCAGGGACAATGACTAATGTGTTCTACAGAGAGAAACGAAGCAGAGGAACAACTATTCCCAAAGGTTAGATGCCATCCATTGAACTCCATTAAGCAATCAAATACCCCAGATGACTCAGAGTCACACTGTTTCTTATGTTGGGAAAACTTGCACTCCACCCATCTCATCCATTAATGCCTCAGCCCCTCAGCAAGGAAGGTCTCCAACCTGAGAGGTTATGTAATTATAAGGAGAATGCTAATTGAGAGGGGGCTAACTTGAGGAGGGCTCTAGTAGGCTCAATTTTAGTTATTATTCTTCAGGGAAGAAAACATTAGGCAAGGAGAGCTCTGGAAGTAGCAGCCAGGGGAACACTTGTGACTGAGGAGTTTAAGGGATGTTCTTTAAGATCCACAACATCTTAAAGGGACTGCAAAGGACTAAAGGAAACAGATGTGATGGCACAAGTCCTGGAGGTGCTACAGTGGCCTATTACTTTTTCTCCTTTTTTTTTTTCCTTTTTAAAAATCGTGGTAAAATAAGCTAACATAAAATTTACCATCTTAACCATTTTTAAGTGAATAGTTTAGTGATGTTAAGTAAATTCATAGTGCCACGATCCATCCACAGAACTCTTTTCATCTTCCCAAACTGAATCTCTGTACTCATTAAACACTAACTTCCCCACCCCCGTCCCCCCAGCCCCTGGCACTCAACATTCTGCTTTCTCTCACTATGAGTTTGATGACTCCAGGAACCTCAAATAAGTAGAATCACACAGTATTTGTGTCTTTGTTGCTGGCTTCTTTCACTTAGCATGATGTCCTCAAGGTTCATCCATGTTGTAGCATGTAGCATGTGCCATAATTTCCTTTTTTTTTTTTTTTGAGACAGAGTCTTGCCCCTGTTGCCCAAGCTGGAGTGCAGTGGCGTGATCTGGGCTCACTGCAACCTCTGCCTCCTGGGTTCAAGCAATTCTCCTGCCTCAGCTTCCTGGGTAGCTGGGATTACAAGTGCGTGCCACCACGCCTGGCTAATTTTTTGTATTTTTAGTAGAGACGGGGTTTCACGGTGTTGGCCAGGCTGGTCTCGAACTCCTGACCTCGTGATCTGCCTGCCTCAGCCTCCCAAAGTGCTGGGATTACAGGTGTGAGCCACCATGCCCAGCCAATTTCCTTTTTTAAAAGACTGAATAATAATATTCCATTGTATGGATAGACCACTTTTCATTTGCCCTTTCATTGGTTGATGGATACTTGGGATACAATGGACTGTTTCTGAATTAAAACCAGATTGTTCCTGGACACTATCTAGAACTAAGTTGCCAAGAGTGTGTATTATAGAAAAGTTCCTGGGACACCAGCAAGGTCCTATTCACAACAGTTCAGCTTTCTGAGAAAATAACCAAAATGACAAAAAAAACTACGCAGCATAATTGAATTGCCGTTTGGTGGGAAGAAGGAAACAGCACCTATTTAGTACATTTGCTTGGTTGCTTGTGGTTTTGATAATACTTTTTTACTAGAGTGATAATCACAAGTTTAAATAAAATTCGGAAAGCACCGAATCTCTCTTAAAACACATTTAATAATTTCATATTTCTGTCCAATGAACTAAATTTCTTAGTATTGTGTGAAAGTTCACCTTGTAAAGATGTATAAAATCCTGTAGGCTTTTGATGCATTATGGATGTAAAGTGGTGCTTTTTTAAGAGCAAAATGCATATTTCATACTTTCCAAAACAGTTTATGTTTTAAAAGATAACATTCATTTGTCTTAAAAAGATCTTTTACAAGCTTTGGGAATGTAAAAAAGCATTCATAACGGGCTAGTACACGGGTTTTCAACTTGCTGTTATGTCACGATCTGATATCTGATGCCCTTTCTTAATCCTCTTCTAATATTCTCTCTCATCTATATTTTTCACTCTCCTTTCAAAGTCAATTTCCCCCTTTTCTATTCTTCCTTCCTTACATATTTCTTAGCCTTGCCCATGCCTCAGCCTGCTGTATACTGCTGTGTGTCTTCATAAACATTATTCAACCCTGCTGATGGCTCTGAGGGAAAGAGCAGATGTGGGTGGAATGTGACAGCCAGCTAAGAGATCCTTCGACTCCCTCACCAGCACAAATGAATACTTGAAAATTGCCCTAAAACATGTTAGCTTACAATGAGTTATTAGAGACAAATAACATACAGATGGAATGTTCTTGCTAATCGAAGGAAATTTGAAATAGTTATTTTGTTTTTAAGAAGATTAATTGCTGATTTGGCTCTTTAAGGCATTTACCATACTAAATAATGCAAACAGTTAGTGGTGATATAAATTCCCCCCTATTATGGATAAATGTCTGAAAAGGCAAATGTTTTCAGTAAGACTTTTCCAAGGGTTCTTTTCTTACCTGAGCCTCATAGATGTTTTTATTTCTTCATAGTCTTAAGTGTAGTCCATATTTAAATTTGGCTCATTTCAAATCCATGCTGGTATTAATGTGAACATGAACATAAATAACAACATTTTCCCATGCTTTCAATAGCTGTTGGCTTTGGTTACTGCCAAATAGATTTGGTTATATTCATCAAACCCTAAGTCACCAAAACACTAGTTCCTCAGATGAAAGAACAGGTTGCCACTGGTTATATGAAGCCATGGTTTAATAACTTTTTCTGTCTCTCTCCCTCCCTCTCTCTTTCTCTTTTACCCCCTTTTTGCACTCTCTGTCTCTCCTCTCTTTCTGTGCTTCTCTCTTTCGGTTTCTCTCTCTCCCTCCCTACATACAAACACACAGACACACACAGACACACACAGACACACACAGACAGACACACACAGACACACACACGCACACAGACGTCCACACACGCAGACACACACACATGCGCACACAGACACATACAGACACACACGCACATACACACACACACAGACACGCAGACACACACAGAGACACACACACACACAGACACACACACACAGACACACAGACACACACAGACACACACACACATGCACACAGACAGACACACACAAACACGTATGCACACAGACACACACGCACATACACAGACACACGCAGACACACACAGACACACACACGCACGCAGACACACACGCACATAGACACACACAGACAGACACACAGACACACACGCACACAGACACACACATGCACACACACACACGCACATACACACAGAGACACATACATAGACACACACGCAGACACACACACAGACACACACACAGACACACACACACAGTGCTTCTTTCCACTTAAGCTGGGCAATCTTAAGCAAATGCATTCCTCTCTCTTTCCCTGACTTTCTCTCTCTATAAAAAGAAGTTAGACTAAATGATCTTTAAGACCCTTTCTGGCTCAGACATGCTTTGCTTTAAAGTCTATGAATAAACATGACACCAATATCCACATTGCTACTTCCCTTTTAAAATGACCTATACTCTGGGAAAGAGAGTTTGATGAATGTTGTAAAAAATCACTTCCTGGAAATGAGATGAGCTGTTTTCATAATGAATATGATTTCATGCACCTAGCTTTTAAAGAAGCATTTTACCTGCTTGGTTTCTAAATTGCAGATTATCATGGCATTAAGAAAATTAATGGTTAACATTTATAGACATTTACAAAATCCACTCCACATTGATAAGTTCTGAAGCATAGCCTAGTGACTTTCCCGATAAGGTTACTATTTCTTTTGTACAGCTGAAAACCTTAAAGGTGAATTACTGGTGAATTGATATATAGTACTATAGCCAACGTATTTAAATTTAAATTTGTCATATGTCAGTATGTACTGAACACACCATAAAGCTAGCTGCAAGTGTTTCATTTACTTTTAAAAAGTGGCATATAATAGTATTTCTGAGAGAAATAAGTTTATTTAATTGACTGATGATGATTCTCATCTCTTTAAAATAAAGTGCATCTAAATATATATTTGTCTTGCTGAGCCCAAACCAATGAAAAAGCATGCTTATTACTTGCTACGTCAAGTATCACCCATAGCTTCATAAGCAGACTGAGATTAATGGTAGGGGTACCTGTAACCAAGGTATTAAACTATTGATTTGGGAAGACACGTAACGCTTCTGATTTTATCTTCAAAATATCTCTGAGCATCAGCAACGGTAAGCAAATAAAATGTGATGCGATATGGATTGTGCTAAGTTATTTCCTCCTCAAACTTCCATTCATCAGAGAAACTGGAAAGGATGGACAGCTCCAGACGCTGGAAAGGAGAATCACCTTAATGGTGGATGTCTCTTACTTTGTTGTCTTCATAGGGCATCACTGCCCGGGAAGGAAAACATACTGTGAACCGAGTTGGTCCCATGAGTCTGAGGCAACATGATAGATGTCTGGCTGGCCTCTCTTATAAGTCATAATATTGCTCTTGACTTTTCAGATAGAATGCCTACATAAGCGTTCTGAAAATGCACCCTTGTGTTGTGGGATTTGGGCTTGTGGGAAAATCCCAATGTACGTAATCTAACTGGGCTTAGTTTTAAATAATAGAGAAAGTCTTCTGTATTTATTTACCTTTCTTTCTTTCTTTCTTTCTTTCTTTTCTCTTTCCTCTCTTACATAGTCAGATATTAGATGTTGAAAAAGAAACAAGAATGTGTAAAATTTATGACTTGGTAGCTGAAATGAAAAGAAGGGATAAAAGAAGAAAGGGAAAAGAAGTTTGGTGCCAAAGTGATCTAGGTGTGAACTACAATTGCTGATCATGATGTTCTACATATCTACTAAGGATATGGCCAGAAAATTGTCTCCAAGAGTCCTAGCAGCCATTAGGAAAAAAAGAGGATCTATGTGCTGCAAAATCCACAATGTCCATGAAGTAGAAATATATTAAGTATGCAATGGATATGTAATCATTCTTTGTAGAGAGAAAGGCCAGGAATTTTTCCCGGGCATCCATGTATACAGTAGTATTGGTCATCTAATGACTAAAGTCTCGAACACTATCTCTACATGTAACAATGAGTTACAGTGGGTTTTTATTTACCATGGCCCTTTTTTTGGGACAGGCACTCACTTTGTTGCCCAGGCTGGAGTGCAGTGGCACCATCGTAGCTCACTGTGGCTTCTACCTCCCAGGCTCAATTGATCCTCCCACCTCAGCTTCCCAAGTAGCTGGGACTGTAGGTGCATGCCACTATGCCCAGTGCCTGAGTAATTTTTTCTTTTCTTTCTTTTTCATTTTTTTAGAGATAAGATCTCACTTTGTTGTCCAGACTGGTCTCAAACTCCTGGACTCAAGTAATCCTCCTGTCTTGGCCTCTCAAAGTGCTGGTATTACAGGCCTGAGCCACAGCAGCTGGCCACCACGACTCTTAATAGAGGTTAAAGGTGTAGTATCATTCCAAAGCATAATTTGGGAAAAGACATTCTGCTGGATGGGCAGGATGATTACATCTATGTGCCTAGCTATCTGCGGACATACTCGAATCCAGGGATGTATTGGAAGAGTGGAGGGACCATGTCTGCTCTTAGAAATTCTTCCACATAAGGAGATGTTCATTTCAACTCAGCTTTTGACCAGAATTGAGTGGCAAAGAACTTGGGATTTTGTCTCATAAATAGTTAGAGCCCTGCTGCTTTATGTTGCAGTTGAATGTATATACAACCAGATCTGCATGATTTTACCAAGAGTAGAGCTGGGAAAAGTGTAAATATCATTTTCTTGAAGTTGAGAAATGATGAGATAAAGACAGTTGAAATATATTATGAAATGAAAGTACTAATTAGATTAATTGAATACTTGTCAGGCCTTGTTCAAAGTACTTTGTATGCATGATCGCATTTACTCATCATATCAACCATTCTTATACCAATTTTCCACATGAGGATATTGAATATCCGGGAAGTTAAGAAACTTGCCCAATAACCTACAAGTTGGAAGTGATGAAGCCAGGATTTAAAACCTGGCTACAGATTCCACATTCTTAACTACTATAATACATCGCCTCCTTGTGAGAGTGCTCCCCTCACTACTCCAAAATGATACCTCTAAAAGGAGCAGAGGGCCACGAGACAGCAGATAATTTCACAAAAACAGCTTGGCTATGATGCAGATTGGATTATCCAAGTAGAACAATGTGGGTACTCCCCAGATTTTGGCCTGGCAGTCAGAGGGAAGAGATCTGCAGTTGAAATCAGGCTTCCTGGCTTTGAGTCCTTTGAATACAACCTTTGATAAGTTTCTACTCCTCTTTGGCTCGGTTTCCCCAACTGTACAATGAGAGTTTTGAACTAGAATCTAGAGCGTCTTCACCAGGGGCACATAGTAATGTCACCTGGGTAACTTTCAAAGTGATAGGGAAGGGAAGTCCTGGGAAGGGAAGAGCATGGTCCCTTTAAATGATACGGAAGTGGGGGAGGGAAGTGCTGGGTAGAGGAGGGCATGGTCTTTGCCTAGGGCCCCGCCCCCACGTACCTAGGTGAGGACAGGCGTTTCTTGCCTAAATGTTGCATTTCCCAAGACCACCCTGGCCTGCCACACCCCCATCCTGTGCCTGTAAAGACCTGGAGACTGGCTGGGCGCGGTGGGTCACGCCTGTAATTCCAGCACTTTGGGAGCCCAAGGCCGGCGGATCACGAGGTCAGGAGATTGAGACCGTCCTGGCAAACATGGTGAAACCCCGTCTCTACTAAAAATACAAAAATTAGCTGGGCGTGGTGGCGCACGCCTGTAGTCCCAGCTACTCGGGAGGCTGAGGCACGAGAATCGCTTGAACCTGGGAGGTGGAGCTTGCAGTGAGCCGAGATCGCACCACTGCACTCCAGCCTGGCGACAGAGCGAGACTCCGTCTCAGACAAAACAAAAGAAAACAAAACAAAAACAAACGAACAGAAAAACCGGAGAGGACCCTAGCAGGCAGATACAGAGGCAGCTGGACGTCTAGAGGAGCACATCAGCGGAGGAACACACAGGCGGCTGGACACCAAGCCACCGATTGGAAGAAGCAGAATGATGTGGAGTTTGTCTGGGTCAGTCAGAGGAGAGCCCAGGTCGCTGAGTAGCCAGATTCCACTCCATCCCCTTCTGACTTACCCTGAGCTACCTCCACTCAATAAAACCTCGTACTCATTCTCCAAGCCCAGGTGTGATCCAATTCTTCCAGTACACCAAGGCAAGAACCCGGGATACGGAAAGCCCTCTGTCCTTGCTACAAGAAAGAGGGCCTAATTGAGCGAGTTAGCACAAACCACCTATAGATGGCAAAACGAAAAGAGCACCCTGTAACACATACCCACTGGGGCTTCAGGAGCTGTAAACATTCACCCCTAGACACTGCGGTGGGGTCGGAACCCCACAGCCTGCCCGTCTGCGTGCTCCCCTAGAGGTTTGAGAAGCGGGGCACTGAAAAAGCGAGCCACACCCCCATCACGTGCCCTTTGAGGGGGACAAGGGAATTTTTCCCGTTTCAAAAGCACATATGCTCAGGCCCTCCTCCAGACTTACTGAGCTCCCATCGTGAGCTAGATGCTGTGGAGGACATTGGGATAAGTTTTAAAAGACAAGTTTCTCCTTTGCAAAGGCCATTATGGTTTGATGCACGAATAGATAATTCTGCCTATGTAGAGGTTTTTGTTGGGCTAAAAGCTAGAGGTACTTGTATGAATGTAGCTCTGTGTATAAAAGCAGAAACAACATTATTACTCTTTCATGGTGAAGGACACTTGGAAAGGGGCCATGGGGGAAAGCTGAGAAGCAACAGCTAAAGCAAGCCTATAAGGACTCAGGAAAGCTGCTGAAGTGAGCGAACCCCGAGCACTGGCTACTGAAGTGAGGAAGGCATGAATAGCAGTAGGGAGTTTGAGAGCAGACCTAGGCATGTTAGGAATCCCAATAAAGCAATGAGGAATGAGGACAAGCACACTGGCTTTTTTTTTTTTTTTTTTTTTTTTTTTTTGCTACTGGTACTGACTAGAACACTCAGATTTGCCATTTACCAGCTGTGTCACAGAGGGCGTATTTATTTGATTTCCCTGAGCTTCAGTTTCTGTGATTGGAATATGGAGACAAACAGTACACTAGAGTCATGGGGGTTTTATTTGGATTTTGTCTTGTTCTTACTTTTTCTTTAAAATTTATTGTATCCTTTCTACTTGCCAGGCACTGTTCTAAGGGCTTTATGAGTGTTATCTCATTTCGTCTTCACCAGACCCCAAGGAGCAGGTCCAAGACACCGAGCGGTCAGTCTCGATCCACTTAGTTTAATTCCAGAGGCTACACTCAGTCTCTGAGGGAAGGTGGGTGCTCAGGAATTACTTGTTTCCCTATCCTTTCTTTCTGCTTAGCATGGGCAACTGTTCCAAATGGACAGAAGCTACTAAATTGCTTCTTTACAAGCTAAGTCCATTAAATTCTCTCCGTTATGAAAATGGCTTCTCTCGTTCCAGAAAGTGCTTTTTACAAGATTCATTAAACTCCCTTTCCCGTGTTCATGTCATTTTATGAGGATAGCAGAAATATAGCTATTAGTGCCATGGGTTGTCATAGACTTGTAGAACACCAGTGTTAGAGCTCTAAAGGCCCTTGGAAATCCTCTAGTTTACTCCTCTCATTTTACACATGGGGTAACTGAGGCTCTGAGTAGGTAAGTGATTTAACCATGAAAACCCACCAAGCTTGTGACTGTTCTCTGACTCCTAAGTCTATCCCCTTTCCACTTGATGACTCACTAACACCAATCAGAAATCTTGTGAGCATATATACCATTGGTGATTCATTCATTCATTCAACGGATATTATTGGAGCATTTACTATATGCCAGGCACTGTGCAAAGTCCTGGACTGAAAGAAATAGGCAGGAGGTTATGGTCGCCTTAGACAACACATCTTCACTATTACTGGAAGAGGGTGGGAGATAGAGGAGAGCAACGAAAACCCTGTACATCAGCAATTCTTGACTTTGGCTACTTACTAAAATTGCCTCAGGATCAGTTTAAAATGCCAATGCAAAAAAATATCTACAGACCCATCCTACACAAGTTGAATAAGAATCTGTGCATAGGGTCTGGGCATCCGTGGTTCCCCCTGTGATTTTAATGTGACCCTAGAGTTGGTAACCACTACTCCAAGCGTGTGGTCTTCTAAAATAGATGAGAAGTGTACAGAAAGGATGGTCCTTACACTAAGACTTAGCAGGAAATTGCTGTTGTAGGTTAACAAAAGCCTGGCCGGAGAGGCAATGGCTCTGGGAACAACCAAAATATATTAAACTGAAGCTCATATCCTGGCATATTCATGAGTTGGTCAAGCCCCACTGCAAGATATTGGGCGATTTCTCATTACTTACATTGAGATGTGAAAAAATTGTGAATCACTTGTTGAATGCCAAGCGCTCTACTAGGCACTTCGACATATATGAGTGAATGTAAGTAACCCTTAAACCACTGTGTAGTAGGTGCAATTATTATGCTCAATTTCCAGTTGAGGAAACTGAGAACCGAGAGGGCAAACTTGCTCCAGATCACAGAGGATGTGGCAGAACCAAGATTGGGACAAATGTTTTCTAACTTCAAGACTCTTTTCCACCATGTCATATTGCAAAGAAGGCATTTTCTAAAACAAACATGTTATGCTATTGGATCATGTGCGATTTAAATTGTACAGCCATTGTGATCATCAATCTCATGTTAGGCTGGTCTTTTCTTGCCCTGATTCTTTTCTCCCTCATCATGCCTGCCTGCTTGCTGTATGTCTTCCTGCTATTGCAGCCACAGGTGCAATCATGAAAGACACAAAAAAGGAAGACACTTGCCATTCAACCCTCTCTTTTCCCGGAGGAATGAATATGTCATACCTTTGACTTTGAAATCACTTCCTGTAATGAGTTTTGCCAAAGAAGAGGCACAAAGAATTGTGTCTTATTCTTAGCACATATTCTCAGCATGCCTTTTAATGACTCCCATGGAACCAGTTCTATGCATGCTGTGTTTCTGTCTATACTGAGCATTAGCAAGCACAAACAAACATTTCTCTACAGTGGTTTGAAATTAGCAAGACAATGTTGGATACATTTCTGCTCTATTGTTGCTAAAAACTAAAATATGTATTTACTTTCCTCTGAAGTAACCAAAAATTTCTGTCTACACTGTGCCTGTCTGTTTTGGCTGCATTTAAGGAAAGCACACCAGTTGACATACTGTGTAGATTTCAGCCCTGGCCTGCAAGTATTTTCATCTGCTTCTTGGAGGTGGTAGGGAGAGTGATGGAAGTATTTTTACTTCATCTGTTGGCAGCCCATTCACACGTCCAACGTGCTCATAAAAAGTCTCTGCAATGAAAAGCCAGCATAGGGTGTCAGAAGAAATAAAAGGCAAACCAAATTTAATCTGGGGATTTTTATGGGTATGGCGAGGGAAAAGTAAATGTCACAGTGCTGCCTGCAAGATGCTACCACTTGCATGCCAGCTTCCCTTTCCAGTGTGGCTTATCAACGAAGTTCAGTAGCCACTGAATGAGAAGCTTTTTGGAATAAAAACATGTTCACACACACAGTGGCTCCGCAGACGTTCATGCCCAGAGGAAGACAGGCTGCATCGTGCAACATCCGAAGTTTATGCATAGTATTGACACTGGGGAGCAGTGGCATATGTGATGTCTGCCATATCCCCTGAAGTCTTTTGTGCTCAGGCAGGGGGTGGGGTTGGTATGACGGAATCATAATCATAAAAAAAACTCATTAGAACACACAACCACTATTGTTTAATGCTACTCTCTGGCAGAAGGATGAGGCCTCTGTGCTCCAGTTGCCAGGGTAAATTAGATAGTCAAATTGAACGTCCAAACCTCTCACTAAAGAGGTAAGAGATCATTAGTGTCTCACAAAATAATGTTGAGTTTTCTCTCACTTTCCTAGTGACAGTTCAGGCCTGGTTTTCATATTCTGTCCAGAGACTTTAAACATCATCAAGTACGTTGGCTTTTATAAATGTTGCGTGGATAGACGTGCTTTTTTTAAAGTGCTTGGTAAGACCATAACAAGTGTGCTATGCAGATTGCCAAAAACCCTTCCCAGAAAATTGAAAAAACTTGGTTCCTTTGTTCCAGAACCTTACAGTGTGATCTGTGACTGTCCTGAAGCTCTGCGTCATGACAGTGTTGCCTTCAAATACTCTGGGTTACTATCTGGGCTGCTGCAGGACATTCAGTAAGGGATGCTCTCAGGCACTTGGAGGAGAACAACACTATGTTTCTTCTACAATGAGCATCTCCCTTGGCTGTACATCTCCGTAAGCGAGTTGAAAATGGGAACAGCAAAAGCTCTGTGCCACATGAAGCCTGCTGGACCTTGCATATCAGACAAACCAGCGCTCTGACGGGCACGTGGTGTTTTGCCTCTGCTCTTGCTCCCAGTAGCATGGCTGCTTGGGCTCTTGACACTGCCAAAATTTTGGGGGGACATAAAAGGTTGCCAGGGCGGGGCTGAGCGCCATGATAAGAGAGCAGAGAAATATATCAATGAAGGGAATTTTTCTTTTTTTTTCCCCCTCATAACTCCAAACTAAAAATAAACCACAAAACATTATAACCACCACAAATACGAACCAGCATGGGGGAAAACACTCACAAGAATGTGCACACGCACATACACACAAGCTCACTGATAGGGTGGTTGTGAACATGGCATGAATTTATACATGCAAAGCACTCAGAATATTGTATGGCAGAAATTAAGTGCTATATAATTGTTTGTTATTATTATTATTTGCATTAAGATGGGCATATGTCCATGTTGGATCAATCAAAAGAATAAAACACCCCATAGTTGCCCAATATATTTCCTTCATATTCAAGTCTTAACAAGAATGGATCAAGCTGTAAGAGGACTCATCTTTGCACATTAAAATTAATACAGGAAGAAAAAAGAAAGAAAGAATGAGAGCAGTTAGGATGATGCTAACTAACCACAGAAAGCAAACAGAGGCCAGATGTGGTGGCTCACGCCTGTAATCCCAGCACTTTGGGACGCCGAGGTGGGCGGATCACCTGAGGTCAGGAGTTCCAGACCAGCCTGACCTTAAGTCAGGTGAAACCTGGTGAAATCCGGCCTCTACTAAAAAAGAAACCCATCTCTACTAAAAACAAAACAAAACAAAACAAAACCATCTCTACTAAAAAAATACAAAAATTAACTGGGTGTGGTGGTGGGCACCTATAATCCCACCTACTCAGGAGGCTGAGGCAGGAGAATTGCTTAAACCCGGGAGGTGGAGGTTGCAGTGACCAGAGATCATGCCACTGCACTCTAGCCTGGGTGACAGAGCGAGACTCCGTCTCAAAAAAGAAAGAAGAAAAAAAAAGGAAAGATAAAGAAGGCAAAGAAAAAAAAAATGGTGGTATTTAATGGTATCCTAAGCAGAACCCAGAAGAAAAACACATATCACTTGGTTGGATAAGATCACCAAAGATACTTCAGAAAATCTTTTCAGAACCATCCCCCTACACACATACATGCACATCTTGAATATTAGGAGTCTTTTAAACAGCTATGTGATTACAAAGGTGAAATGTTCTCAGGCTTATGTTAATAGAAACCAAATGCTGAAATTTTTTTCCTGCCTGCTTACCTTCTGCCTGAGGTCAGAGCACCCCCGCTTTATGTAGTATGGTGGTCAGGCTCTCCCTATTTATTTAGCACAACCTAGACTGAACCACCCCTGTTCAACATCTGGATGCAGGAGAGGCTGTCCATAGCTGTGATTTGTGAATGGCTGATATCCACCAGGGTGCTTCTCATGCATAAGCCTAATTCATCGTCCTGTTCAATTTTCTTTTCAAGTTATCATGCGTGAGACATATTTAGAATCCTGGAATGTGAGAGCCAGAAAGAGTCTTTGAGATCAACTTGTCCAACCTCCTCATTTTACACTCACAACTGATAACTGCATTCCAATTTGTCACCAACATCGCTTCTGGCATAATTAGGGCGGCTAGCACTGGGAAAATGGGAACTGCTCCTCTTCCCCACATTCTCAGAAAGGCCAAGGTCACAGCCACCCCTCCCCCAGGCAGCCTCACACACAGTTTTCACTGTTTCCTTTCTGCTGCTGTGTGAGGCAGCTTATAAGCAACAGCTTTTTGTTGCTGAGGGAAGAACAAAACCCTGGCCTGCCAGCAGTGGAAAGATTTATAAGAGCTCAAAGAAGGTCAAAAGGCTAAATTACCCTGTGACTTGTATGTAATCGGCATCTTCTAGCGTGCTACAGGATGAGGCTGATTACATGGAAGGCAAAGGTGAAGAAAAAAGAGCATAAATAATCAAAGAAAATGAAGCTTGAACTGGTCATAGTCCTCATCTTTTTTTTCAGTCTTCACACAGCTTTCTGCTGAATATTTTTTTCTAAGAGCATTTAGAAAGAACAAACCTTAAAGATGCTTCCCTGATTTATCTAAAAGTAGCAATAAAAAATGACTTATTATATGGGGTTCTCTTTATTTTTAAGAGAGTCAAGAAAAAAATATGCTCGTAAATTAGAAGAAATGGTCCAGAATCAAAAGGCGTAATTATTGAGGAGTCACTTCCATTTGGAGGAATCAACGAAGCCTTCAGGGAAGAAATGTAACTTTCCCATTTCTTTTTCCCCTTTCCTGTTTCATTCTTTTTTGCTTTTTTACAGGGATGACTGAGGGGATGTGGTAATATTTAGTTAAAACTGAGATAAGCACATCTTTACTTCTCTCTCTTTCTCACTGTCTCTGTCTTTGTCTCTGTCTCTGTCTCTCTCTGTTTCTCTCTCTCTCTCTCATACATCCATGCATATAAATCTCAAGTGTCCATTATATTCTGGGAACTTTCTGTCTCTAGTTAACCCTAGGTTAGCACTCAGCACACTGTATTTCAAGTGCTCACTAGGTGACAGTAAGCTCCATGAGAGCAGAAACATCATCTATTTTATTTACCACTATTTGCTCGGCACCAGACGTAGTGCCCAGCATAGAGGAGGTGCCCAGTAAATACCAGCTGCATACATGAATGATTTTGGCACCAGTTCTTTGGACAACTTCATGGCTGTGATTTAAAACCAAACAAAGAAGAATATATTCCTAGGTAGTGTTTTTCCACACACCCCTGACCTTTACAAGGATCATCACTTTATCTGCCTTGTCTACGCAGAATTCCAGAGCTTAGCGAGATATGGGCACTTGAATGTTGGTTTAGTGACATAATGAATACATCATAGAAATCATTTAATAAAGAAATCATAACAGACCCAGAGTTTTTAGGAAGGCCACTTTCAGTGTAACATACACAAGCCCTGTTAAGTAACAAAGTTGAGAAGAAAACAAATTTAAGTTATAACCAAATTCTAATTATCTACTTGAATGCTTTCCAACTACTGCTGTGTGTAAGACATGACTGACATCCAAATTATATTGACCTTCCCTCTAAAAGTAGTCTCAGCCTTACAATAATTTCACATGTTGCAGAGCTTCTAACCATGTAGCATTTATATATTCATACAGTCATCACCTACATGCCCATACTAAATAACAGATACCAGGTAATGTTCATGATATAAAGGAATTGTTAGCACATTCATGAATTAGGGCATTTGTAGGTAATTCTCATGGAAGCATAGCTTTTTTTTTTTTTTTCCGAAGCAGGACATTTATCTACAAAAGCCTTCAGTGCATGTTTAGAAGCAAAAATATTATGTTTCTCATAGGTACTTTGGAATTCCACACAGATGGGGATATGGATTTAGTAAATGCTTTTTATGATGAGACTTTATTAATTATACAAAGCCTTAGTCAAATATATGTGAGAATCCTGTATGATAGAAATATACAAGATTCTAGAAGGATTTGACCTCTCCCTTTTTCTCATCTTATAAAGATACGTGATAATAGGTTCTCTAATTCTTTGGTTTTCTTTCTCATTCGGACTTCCATATGCCTGGTTTCAGCTGCTCCAGCTACTCTTCTGACTTAACTGTGCTTCTCACTTCTGTTTTCTCCCTACGCTAGTTTAATATCCAAGGCACTACAACAATTTTATCTAAATACAAATTTGATCATGTCACTACCCAACTCAAACTCACATTGCCTTCAGTCTCCTTAGAGTGACATTTAAGGCCCTTCACAATATGCTTGCAGCCTACCATATCAGTCTCAGCCTTGCTGTTCTCCCTTTACATCCTATGCTGTAGTTACACCAGATGTCTGGTGCACAGGTCTCTGTTTTTGAGTCTGATGTTCTCTTTTCCACCTTTTCAGCCAACACAATTCTACTCATCCTTGTATGTCTAGTGTGAGTGCTTTTTTTTTTTTTTTTTATTTTGGACAGAGTTTCACTTTGTTGCCCAGGCTGGAGTGCGGTGGCACGGTCTCGGCTCGCTGCAACCTCTGCCTCCTGGGTTCAAGCAATTCGCGTGCCTCAGCCTCCCGCATAGCTGGGATTACAGGCACTATGCCTGGCTGATTTTTTTTTTTTTTTTTTTTTTTGTATTTATAGTAGAGGTGGGGTTTCACCATGTTGCCCAGGCTGGTCTCGAACTCCCGAGCTCAGGCAATCAGCCTATCTCTGCATCCCACAGCGCTAGGCTTATAGGCGTGAGCCACTGCGCCTGGCCTTGAGTGCACTTTTGCTAGGTCTTCCTACCTAGAGTGAGTCAGTGGCTGCGGCCTCTGCCTTCTCAAGGCACTTGGTGGGTGCATCCTTCTTTCATGGCATTTACCACTCTGCATTAGCATTCGTTTTATGCATGACTTTCTGCACCACTTGATTGTGATCTCCTTGAGGATTAGAGCCAGAGTTTTGCATAGTGTTTAATAAATGTTTGTTACATGAATGAATGAATGAGTTAATGAGTTAATTATTTCCCCCGGCTATGGACCTTAGTCGGCATTCAAAACAGTCCTTCCCCATTTGGGAATCTCTTTATTTCCATATAGTATAATGAGGCCTCTTAAGTTTACCAGAGGTCTGGGAAAAGGAAATGTAATAAATGGGAAAGTATTTTTAAGTTGGCATGTGTGGGCATTAGCTTAAACCTTTTAAAGACAGACGTTACACTCCAGAAAACATTATGAATGAGAATGCTGGAAAAAAAAGTTTGTTGCATAATAGCTAGGAGTGAAAAGTTCTTTTCTTTGTTCCTGGGAGCAATAAAGTGATAACCCATATCTCAATCTCCTTCCCACACTTGCTCTTGTCAGTGTTTACCATATGAAAAAAAAAAAATCAAGTTATTTTATCCAGACTTCTGGTCACCTCCAAAAAAATGAGAAGGAATATATTTTCCTATTAATTGTGCTTGATTTTATAATTTTATGAAGATCAGGTGAGATTTACAAGTATCTCGGGGCAGCATGGTTTAAAAACAAAGTTACCAGCTGTAGGTAAAAAGTGTGTAATTAACAAAACTGGAAATTTCTTCATCTAAAATTTAATTCACAGGATCAATTTAGTATTATTTGAATGATGGCACAATTTTTAAAGAAGAATTGTGCATTTTTAAATCACGGCTAGTCTTAGGACCATTTTTGTTCAATGTATATGACAGATTTGGAGAGACTTTGATCTCATTACTACTTACAGAAAAAATAGCCTTTGGCAATATAAGATATGTTATGTTTTAAAAAAAGTCACACTGCAGTTTTTAATCTACCAGTTCTAAGGATAACTAAAAATAAACATAAGGAATTCTTGATTTGTGGTTTTAAGAATTAAGTCAGAGAGTTATGTACTTATTCACCAAATCAGCTTTTAAAGTTTATTTCCATAATCATTACTTGGTTTGATCGTTTGTAGCAATCATGAATGAAATTCAGTAACATTAAGGTTATTAGGGAAAGAAACAAAATAAAACAAAACAAATAATGCCAGAAGTTTTATAAGTCACAAGCTAGCTCTCTACTGTGATTCAGCAACTTTTAGCAATTGAATCTAAATCCGATTCAAAGCTTTCTGAATCTGTAGCCATCAGACAAGCCCCAGAGCTCGATGAAAGAGGCTTCTGGTGCCTGAGTCCACCCTTCCATGCTTGAAGTAACAAAGCAGCCAACCCAGCGGTATAGCTTACCTCTCCTCCAGGCTCGAGGCCTCTGCACAACTTGGCACTATTGGGATTTTGTCAGATTAAGGAATCAATGGACAATGTGCTGAGTGCTTTTATTTAAACATAAATACATAAATAAATGTAAGCCCTAACCGTAGAGCCCAACATACAGTCTGAACTGCCTAAGTCACACCAGTGCTTACACAGCCCTTCAATAAACTGATGTGTTTTCAGGTCAAAAAGACCAAACCCGTAAATCAAGGCAATGCTGTCCCTATGACTTATTTGCATTCTGAGTGAGACACACGGTTTTAGGTCTTGTGAAAACAGAAGACTGATATGCAATCCAGTGGCTTAGGGTTCCAAACATGCCAGCTTCAAAGGCAGCTGTGAGGTTTGCCTGTGAACTCCTCCTATGTGTGGGACAAATGCTAGTTAGAAATCTTTGCATGGGCATTGGGGGAGTCTTTGCTTGTACAATAATGTCCTAATGTGACCTTTTTCATTTACTGTTTAAGGAGTTTTACTATGAGTAATTAAGAAAACTTATCCGGATGCCATTTAATAGAAATTCTCAAAGCCTTTTGAAACAATTTTACCTATAATAAAGCAATAGAATGAAACCAAAATATCCATCCTGTGAATCAGGATTCCATCATTTCTACACCTGCTGTAATGTATTGCGTCAACTTTTCCAAGTTCTCTTCCCCTCAAAATGCTCCTTTTTCTTTATGTTCTCAAATGAAGAAAACTCTGCTCCCTTCGTCGTCCTTCACTTTCGAGGCTGCTCTGCTGAGTAAAATCTGGCCCCACTTGAAGTTATTCTTGTGGCCACAGCATAGGTGACAGAGGTAAATGGAGAGTTTTTAAAAGTACACAATTCCTTTCTTACAAAGCCTCCTCAAATAATGCAAGCCATTTTTTACCTGCCCTAGAAAAACTAAATTGCTCTTCTTACATTGCAAAATCATCCAGCTACTCTCAACAGCTCTGCACTATTGAGATAACAACAGACTTTGCACAGAACAGAAAAGCTGCATTGCCCCCCACTGCTGCTGCTTTAGCACGGATGCTTTTACTTTTCTTAAACACACACACACACACATACGCAGTCTGAATTAGCTAAAAAGGTGAGTAAAACATGAATAAAGAGCACTTAAGGAGAAAGCGTATTTAAAGAGTGTTTAAAGGAGAAACATCCACACTTCCATTTAGTTCAATACCTCGTCTGAGAGGACAATGTGATAAAACACAGATAGTCAGAAAAACGACAGAATGTGGGATGTTCATAAGGTAATGGTCCTATTAGAAATAGATCTGCCTTAGGCAAGAGGAATTTGTGGCAGGTTAATTGAGTCACAGGTGTCATAGACCTAGGAAGGGTTACATAAATTGTGAGGCCGAGTGAAAATTAAAAATGTGGAGTCCCTTGTTCAAAAGCTATTCATAATTTCAAGAACCATCAGAGGAGCAGAGCATTAAACCAAATGTGAGCTTGAGACTTCTAAGCTTGAGACTCTGCACAACTGCACAGATTATATGCCCCTGAAGTTGGCTCCGCACATATCTAAGGCCTAGATGGCCTACGTGAATCTTGTGTAAGGCTGAAATTCTTCGTCAGGTGGCCTCAGGTTTCTCATCTAATAACCAAACCCGTTCAAGGTTCTCTCCCTTACTCTAAACTAGTTCAGTCATTTGGAAGACAGTGTGGCAATTCCTCAGGGATCTAGAACTAGAAATACCATTTCACCCAGCCATCTCATTACTGGGTATATACCCAAAGGATTATAAATCATGCTGCTATAAAGACACATGCACACGTATGTTTATTGCGGCATTATTCACAATAGCAAAGACTTGGAACCAACCCAAATGTCCAACAATGATAGACTGGATTAAGAAAATGTGGCACATATACACAATGGAATACTATGCAGCCGTAAAAAAGGATGAGTTCATGTCCTTTGTTGGGACATGGATGAAGCTAGAAACCATCATTCTGAGCAAACTATCACAAGGACAGAAAACCAAACACCACATGTTCTCACTCATAGATGGGAATTGAACAATGAGAACACTTGGACACAGGGTGGGGAACACCGAGGCCTGTCGTGGGGTGGGGGGAGGGGGGAGGGATAGCATTAGGAGAAATACCTATTGTAAATGACGAGTTAATGGGTGCAGCACACCAACATGGCACATGTATACATATGTAACAAACCTGCATGTTGTGCACATGTACCCTAGAACTTAAAGTATAATAATAAAATAAAATAAAATAAATAAATAAAAGGTTCTCTCCCTTAAGAATCCATGAAGAAAATAGTCCTTTTTCAAAATCCATTTGCCTTATGCCTTTCCCTTAGAGAATACTAATATTATTATGCTTAGAATCTGCTGATTATAAAAAATGGACATGTTACTAAATATGGCTTTCTAAAAGATCAATCTTATTCAAACAACTCAATAGCAAAACAACAAATAATCCAATTTAAAAATTGGCAAAAGACCCGAATACACATTTCTTAAAAAGAAGACATACAAATGGCCAACAGGTATATGAAAAAAATGTATAGTATCACTAATCATCAGGGAAATGTAACTCAAAACCACAATGAGTTATCACCTTACTCCAGTTAGACTGGCTATTAACAAACAGAAAATAACAGACGCTGGCGAAGGTGCAGAGAAAGGGGAACACTTGTGCTCTGTTGGTGGAAATGTAAAATGGTGCAGCCAATATGGAAAATAACAGAGAGGGTCCTCCAAAAACTAAAAATCAAACTACCATATGATCTAGCAATGTCATTACTGGGTATATAGCCAAAGGAAAGGAAATCAGTATATTGAAGATATATCTGCGATATATCGGCCCATGTTCATTGCAACACTATTCACAATAGCCAATATAGGGAATCGACCTAAGAGGCCATCTGTGGATGAATGGATTAAGAAAATGTGGTATATACACAGTGGAATACTATTCAGCCATAAAACAGAATAAAATCCTGTCATTTGCAGCAATATGGATGAACCTGAAGGACATCATGTTAAGTGAAAACACCCAGCACAGAAAGATAAATACTGCATGATTTCACTTTTATGTTGAATCTAGAAACATTGATCTCATAGAATTAGAGAGTAAAATAGTGGTTACCAGAGATTGGGGAGGGTAGGTGAAATTGGGGCTGGAAAAGTTTGCATGAGAGGTAAATGATATAGTCAGACAGGAAGAATAAATTCTGGTGCTTTATTAGACAGTAAGGTGACTATAGCTAATAACAATTCAGTATATATTTCAAGAGAGGCAGAAGAGAGGATTTTGAATGTCATCACTACAAAGAAATTAATGTTTAAAGTGATGGATATGCAATCTATCCTGATTCGATCATTATACAATGTATACATGTGTTGAAACAGCACGCTCTACGCCATAAATATGTACAATTATTGTCTGTCAATTATAAATAGAAAAGAATGAAGGAAAGAAGAAAAAAAGAAAAGCTGCTATTAAAAAGCAATAGTTCTGTTTATGCTGATATGGAAAGATCTTTGAGATGTAATGTTAAATAAGAACAGAAAGATGCATAAAGAAAAGAGAAAAAGAAATCAATCTGTCCTCCCAGCTTGTGGATAGCCTGTGGTTGAACATAGAAGCAGGGTTTCCTCTATCTTCTCTTCATTTCCCTAATCGCAGGGGTTCGTTTTCTTATCCCTGAACTACCATAGCAGCTTCCTAGAACTCAGCCTCCTCTCTGCCCAAATGTTCAGATCACTCTTTCAGCCAGACAACTCAATGCGTCTCTGTTTATCCAGTGAAACTCAGTGATGGAGTGGACAGGATGTGGGTAAAAACTCAGTCATAACTCGTTTCAAATTATCTCTTTGGCACCTTTTATTGTACAACAAATATATGTTATTTTTTAAGTATTAACTCACTGATACTCACAACCACACTCTGAGTTATATATAATCATTGTCTCTTTGTTTCAGATGAGAAAACTGAGCCCTGGAGAAGTTAAATGACTGGCTCAGTGTCACACAGCTAGTAAGTGGCAGAGCTGGGTTTCAAACGGGGGCATGCTGGCTCCAGAGTGCCTGCTCTTGAACACCCATCTGTGCTGATCCTAGCTAAACTGGCCTCTCCCTATAGTCACTGGGTCAGTGGAGCAAGCCCTAAAACTCCCTAAACCTCAATTTCCTCCTTCTAACACAGACATAACAATCTCAAGTGGTGAGGACAAGGAATATCAATAGAAATGCATGTGACATTTTTCTAAGACCGCATACAAATATTAGTAGTTTTATAACTTTTGTTTTGCTTGGAGAACCTTCCATTATTTTTGGACTCAAGTCCAAGTTCCCTTTTCTGGCTCTCAGAACCATGAAAAGGTAAGTTCAGCCAGTAGTATTCTTGTCACTGTTGTATGCATGCATATTCCTGTCTTTACATTTTCAAGCTTGCTGATTGCCCAAGCCTTTCTCAATTCAAGGCTGTTTCAGTGTCCTGCTTGCTCCGCACAGCCTTCTTAGATCATGCCAGTCTGGTCCATATTGATCTTTTTCTTTTCTGATCCTGACCTCCCATATCTTCTTCAAGGATTAGCAGCTCATCTTGCCAATTTGGTTATAAATTCTTCAACAGCAGGCATCATGTCTTATTTCAAGTGTGTATGTTGTTTCCCCAACATACAGGAGGTCCTTGAGGAAGATTCAGTGGCTAGTGAGATTTCCATTTTCGCCCAGCATCTTGCCCCAGGGCTGGGCCCACACACAGCCTGCAGGAACACTTGTGGATTTGTTTTAGATGTGCGCAGCATCTGCTTGAATGTTCAGCACACAGTGAGCACTGCATAAATTGTATTTTTAGAGGCAATCTGTTACCACATAAGGATTACCAGAAATTACTCATACTCTTTGTGTAAGTAGATTTATACAATTATAATATCTAAGAGCTGAAATAAGAATGAGGGAAATAAAATCATGAGGCCTTTTTTAAGCAAAAAGGAATGTTAGAACTTCTGGTCAAAATGTGTTCACTGGTGTGTCAGAGAGCAGGTGTGAAGTTTGTTGAAAATAACTTGTTATTAATAATAATGTGTCAAGTTTGAGAATGATTTACTATTTTCAATGAATTAAAGTGGATTCCAGTTTTCTCCAATGGCTTCATTTTTATTCAACTGTTTTATTGAGTGGGAAGGCTAAATCTAACTACTTTATCTGACAAAAATACAAACAAAACAAACCAAAACAAAAAAACTGAGGCTCAGAGAAGGGAAGGACCTGGTCCAGTGTCACACAGAGAATTCGCAGAAGCATGGAGGCTAAATCTCATTTTTATCAGATCCTCCTCGGGTCAGCAAATGAGAAAGAATCAGTGTGATTTGAGAAGAGCAAAACAGAGCCCAGTAAAATTTTAAATCTTATTCAAATAGCAAAAATATTTGGCTCCTAGTTAGAGATCATGACTTAGGAAGGATTTCTCTTGGACAGGCACAGTAAGAGGAGATTGTGAAACTCCCTATTTCTTAGCCCTCTGTTATAAATCATTTGAGAAAGTATATATTTACCCTTCTTTTTCTAAGACTTTACTTTGTCTTTGTACAAATACCCATCTTTGTATATTTGATTTTGCCCTACAGAGAAACTCAGAAAGTATGATTGAAAAACAAGCTACATCAATACAGACAGAGCTTCTCCTCATTTTAGTCTGTAAGAACAGGAAAATTAGCTTATTTTTAAAATTTCAGAACAACTGAGCCCTTTGCATAGTAGAACTGAACAATTTTCTGATGAATTTGAGCAAAGCAAAATCTGAATAAATGCAGTTTAAAACTAATGAATTATTTCAACAAACGCCTACCCTAACTTACACAGATTATTACTTAAAATCTATTTGCTTTTCAGAAATCAACTTAGTCAATAAAATATATTTTGTTCAAAAATTTCAAGTTAAATATTTGAAATGTAATCATATTATAAGTCTTTAATATTCCAATGACATCCTTTTAAATTTATTTTTAAGATGGTGGGGTTTGGACAAGGATAACCTACACTGCCTCTTTAATAACCTTCTGTAACATGACAGAAACAAACACGCAGCCAACTGTTGCTGGATTTTCCTTTCATTCGCGAATGCTTTTAATAAACCCCTCAGAAACCTCTGGAAAGCAGAGAAACGTTTTGAATGGATACGTTTTTTCCTCTTTTCTACTCTTACACGAGAACATATCGGCTGAATATTATAATATTGAGGGCTTTATTTCTTTGTTTCCAGTTAAAATCTATATGAGCAGATGGAGACACATCAGTCCAGAAATAAAACTATGGCTGAAGTTTATGGTCGTGAAGAGGCCAAACACCTCTAGTCAGCTAAGAGCTTTGCTCACTGGAATGAATCACTGAATTTCTGAAGCTCAACTGAGTTGTCCAAGGGTCTGTCAGTATCCCGGATAAGAAACTTGGCAGTGTTGGCTAAAAGGGAGAGGTGATAAAACATTAAATAAAAAAACAAATGCTATTTTCCCTGAAATGTGATAATGTGGTCTACCTAGATAGATTCATAGTTTACTTTGTTTAATTGTCACGGAGGATAACTAAATTCACTTATCAACAAAAAAAGACAACTCCTTGAAAAATAGATAAATGGAAAATCCATCACAATCCCCCCCCCCCAAAAAAAAAAGGTAGTAGGGTTTTGTGATTTACAAAGAAATGAGGAAAATGGCTTAAAATTTTTTTAAGTCAAGCTTAGAAAGAGAGATTAACCCAAGATAAATTGTGCATTTGAATCCTTCAGAAAAAAATCAGAATAGGGCTATATCCAAAGTAGACAACTGAAAAGAGAAGTATAAGAGATTTTCAGGCTTAAATAATAATTGTCTCAATCCCTATTTTGTCTTGTGTGTAGCAACCATTTCCGAAGTAGCCTACAATCACAGAGAACCAAAGTTGAATGTGTCCGCTGAGTTCATCTAGTCCAACACTGTTCCCAGATGAGGGAGCTGAGGCCCAATGAGAACCACAACTTATCCTCACAGCTTTATAGCCACACTAAGGTCAGAACCTCAGATCCTAGGACTCTTCACTGTGAAATACCACTTGTAGGCTCTTATTTTGTATAAATTGAACTGTACATAACAATCTTGTTTTGACAGAAATACGATTTACTATGGTTTTAACTCAAATAATTTCTCTTCTCTCTGGAAGACATAAGAAACAAATCAATCAAATATACAGAGCCATAATAAAAACTAAATGATAAGCTCTGGAAGAATTTATCATTCAAGCTCGTCAGAGACTGCATTTTCTCTTAACTCAGAACGTCCCAATTCCAAAAGCCAATAACAAGACAATCTCACCGCTCTGCAGTAAAGCTACTTTTAACTCTAGAATGAAATCATTGGGTTCAATGGACAGACCGAAGTGTCACTTAAAAAATCAGGCCTGCCTGCATGTAATTAACTTTAGATCTTGGCTATGTGTTACTACACTTCTCTGCCATCCTCATGGGGTATGTCTCTCTGTGTGTGTGTGTGTGTGTGTGTGTGTGTGTGTCTCATAAAATTCTGAAAATATTCAAACCAAATAGTTTAAGACTTCCAGGAACAGCTGATAATTCATTGTAATTATGCTTTAAACTTAGATCCTCTAGTTTTCAACCATTTTTCAGCATTTATTTGAGAACCAGAGCCTCATTCACCCATTCACTCATTTATTCACTAAACAGAAGTATTTATTGGAGAGTAAGGTATTATGCGCCAAAACACTATGCCAGGTGTTAACAATATAAAAGTAAAAGGCAGATCAGGGAGGGATTTGTCTGAGGATTACCCAGAGTACAGTCCATCACAAATCTTGTCTGCCTGGTAGTCTCTTTGTGAGCTGGAAAGTACCTTAGATTGTATGTTGTGGTCCACATTCTGCCAAGATCAAAATGTCCCAAAATTCCAGGAAACAATCTGACAGATAAATAGCTTAAATGTTCTTTTATCATAAATGTTGATAGGAAATATAAAATAATAATTTAAAATAAAATTAACAAAAATGATGTATAAGTAATTACAAAGTTGTTGCTCAGGGAAGTATGGATGAGGAACATTTTCCACCCCTTCCAAGATTGACAAAATCTATTCTGATGCTTTTTTTTTTTTTTTTTTTTTTTTTTTTTTTTGTGACGGAGCTTCGCTCTTGTTGCCCAGGCTGGGGTGCAATGGCGCAATCTCGGCTCACTGCAACCTCCGCCTCCTGGGTTCAAGCGATTTTCCTGCCTCAGGCTCCCAAGTAGCTGGGATTACAGGCATGTGCCACCACGCCCAGCTAATTTTTTGAATTTAGTAGAGATGGGGTTTCACCATGTTGGTCAGGCTGGTCTTAAAATCCTGACCTAAAGTGATCCACCCACCTCAGCCTCCCAAAGTGCTGGGATTACAGGCTTGAGCCACCACACCCGGCCTATTTTGATGCTCTTTTTCCAGTATCAACAGGCACATTATGAACTTAATATTTTATATTACATGTGTTCAGAATGGGGAGCTGTACACTACTTTTATTCTCATTTCAACTGATCTTGTCAAGGGATCTAATAACCTGGTATACTGGCACCAATTCTCCTTTAGCAAAACACTTTTGAATGTGGCTATTCCAATTGTTTCAGCTGCCCTATGAAGGCTACGTGAATAAACTGAATATATTGTGCATATATTGGTAATCCTAAGAGAGGATAATTTGTTATAAGTCCTCATGTTCCCACAGGAATCTCAAATCCTTTGTTATGTTATACATTTGTGATTTGGAGCATGCCTGGCAGATATATTCTAATATTCAACCAAATGCAAATAGCCAAAGTAGTAACTTTGCCATTATATCACCATAATCATAGGAACAAATGAACCCCCTGCCTTTCTCTCTCATTATTTTTTCTAAATCTACTTTTTAGGAATACAGTGATGGCATTTCTATTAATGAACTCATAATTTATATTCCTTGGATTTGTACGTCAGTCTTTTATTAAGTACAAATATATTAGGTCACATACGGTGTTAGACTGAATTTTATAATTAAAAAACAATTGGCTCTGGTGTAGATGTATGTCTGTGTCTGGTGAGGAGAGTGGGGAATCAGTACTTTTTTCAGTATTTAGCAAAGCATCTCTATTTGAATTGTTTTTGTTGTTGTTTACTTGTAATTTTTTAAGTCTAATACTAATGAACAGTCATGGAAAAGTATGAATATATATTTTTATAAAGCTTATTTTACCTTAAACATGTAAACTAATCATATAAAGAATCAAAGCCTTTATCTGTGAGCATATCAAGGCGAAGAAAACAGTTTCAATTATAGTTTCTCATTCATTTCCTCTTCAGACTCTAAATATCTTTTCTAACTAATTTAAGTGTTGTTAGTGAATATTTATTTATTAACTGAAATGTAATTACACATAAAGTAACTGTGTAAACAGTTTATCCAATAAAACCCAAGATCATTTGATCACATTTCCAATGTTTCATTTTGCCTATTAACAGCCCAAAATATGACATTTATTTTTTGAAACAATGTCACTATTAGGCACAGAAGTCTATTTACACAAGAGCTTGTTTCATTTGACATTTATTGCAATAACTTGAGAACAATTATTTGCAACTAAATCTAACAGTATTTGTACGAGTACTTTCAAGCTAAAGTACTGCTAAAAAATTTCAACATGCATGCAATTCGTTTACATAATAACATAATTTATTATAAAACCTGTGACTCTGAGCACTTTATGGAATATGTGCTTATGGAATACCCTCTACTGTAACATGGCCACATCTGAGAAAAGAGATGCTGCTGAGCAGAAGAGTCCTGTGTTCAATTTTGTTGAAATGGGTTGGCTGCTCAGACTGTTCAGGACTGCTACTGTGCTATGATAGCATTGCTTGATAGCTCAATTCACATCAGACTTCAGAAGACTTTCAAGCACAAGCCGTTAGCCACCAGCAAACTGGTAGCACAAGCAGCCTTGGCAAAACACAGTTACTATGCAGGTGGGCTCTGTTTTAAGCAAAGTCGATATTGAAAATCCAAACATACAAAAGAGATAAATCAGAGAATGGTTATTTGTATTATAAAATGGTTTTCTGCTTTATGAAAGAATTCACAAGTTTCCTCTAAATGGCAGCTCCCCTAATGCATTTAAAATACAATTTGATTTACAAAAGTTCAATTTACACGTGACTTTTTGCACAATCATTGTGAGAAGCAAAGTACACCTATATACAGTACTTAATTTTCTCTCTCAGGATTAAGGTGTCTTATCATTGTATTGATAAAAGACACTTAAGCCAAAACGTTATAATTTAAGCCACTGAAATAGAAAGTAAATATTACCTCTGAAACATGGATATTCCAGAAAATTTAAGTACCTTTTTAAATTTTGTATTTACAATCTTGGGTAGTCATCTTTACAAAGTAGTGCTTTAGATAGCACAAGTATATAGCTTTCATTAGGCCATAACATTGGGCCTTATTTTGCAAAAACAAATGTTTTATTATATCTTATTTTGGTGTTTAAATTTGTTTTATTTTATCTTATTTTGGTGTTTTTTTTCCTTTTTAGCTGTGTAATTCTAAAGAGATGTTAGACTAAGCTAGGCTATTTATTATATATCTGTTTTATACCTTACTGCACAGAATCACCTTTAAAAACTTAACTTCCTGCATTGCATTACTGTCTCCACTGTTAATCTGGGCGATTGCCATTCAGGTAAGACTCTCTCTTATTAGCACGAAGCTCCTTGCTAGGGTGAGAGTGAGTAGTAGGGGGTGGCGTGGAGGGTGAAGAGGGTGTTGTGAGGAGGGTAGAGACCCTGTCCACTGTATGTCTCAGGACATAGCCTAGAGCCAGGCACCCAGGAAATAAGCACTCAATAACTACTGAATGAACAAATGAATGAAGAAATGAATGGACTGGGAGAATTGTCTGGACGGCTTTCTTCACTCTAGCATCCAACCCAGTATATTTCTGGAATATGTAGAATCAAAATGAATTTTCAGAGTCTGAAAAATCACAGAACCTCTTTCTTATTCCTTAAATGCTTTTTGTAAAATTCATAAATTATTAAGCCCTTGATGACTTGGAGACATTAAGAAAAATTAAGTCACAGAGGTCAGAGGAAAAAGAAGAGGAAATTGAAGGGTCATTTCCTTACTCACCAGCTGCTGGAGAGAACTAACAAGGCACACAGGTTGACCATAGTCCAGAACCAAATTAGGCTCTTAGCAATTGTGTTCATACTGAGAAGTGGTATTTTTGAGTGTTTCAATAAAAACTTAGCCACAGGTATATTCGGAAATAGTGAAAGCAACTAATTAAGAGCTAAAATAGAAGGGAATTACCATTTGTCATTTGTAGGGCCAGACATACAGATATGTTCTTGGCAGGGCCCTGGGAGACTGCATTCTGTAGGCTGGAACCATTTTGCTGTGCTGATGCTCATACGTCTTAAAGCTGCATGTGAAATAAAAGTGAAATAGCAATATCCAGCTGTGGAAGATAAAAATAAAAATCCTAAAATAAAATATGGTCGAAAGTGCTTGAGCAGATAAAGCAAAACAGAATATAGTCAGTGGGGATGCTAGTGAGTTAATAAAACTTAAAATGTTTATGATTGCATTAGAAAATAAAGGTTCAAAGTATATGATGTATGATGATTTTAAATAAAATAGTCTGGAATACATTCAAATAATTTCATTTAAAAATCTACTGCAAATTAAGTATAACTGTAACAAGCAAGAGGATATAGAATTAAACCATAATTATTAGGCAACAGAGTTTATAAATTTGAGTTCTCTCAGTAGGCGTCTTTAAAATCGTGTAAGTAAGTTAATATTAAGGTATCATCTGTCTTTAAACTTAATGAGTTAATATTTTTTCTATGGACAATGGCATTTTACAGGAGTATCTTTACTTTCAGAAAAATAAAAATGAACACTGAAGTGGAATCACTGCATCAAGAGCCTCTAGTCATATAATTTAAGCCTGAAAATGATCTTAACAGAATATATATGCAAATTTGCCTTCACAATCACTTCCCAAAATACCTACCTCTGTATTCTGTATTTATCATTGCATCAAATGAGAGCAGTCAGAAAAGGATTTTTGAAACTCTTTTATATATAAATACTTCACTCAAAGATGAAGTGGTTTCCAGGAGTCTTCTCCACATTCAACTAGCATAATATTCTAGTTCCTCTTCTGTGAAATGTAAAATATCTGTACATTAACTTTCTTGAAGATCATTTCAGCCCACCATTTTCAACTTTCTTCTAATGGATCGAAATAGGAATTATCACCTCTAATCAAAGAATGAGCATGTTAGCTTGCCACTGTAGATATTCAGAGATTTTATGTTGTTAAAGATATGTTTCTCTTCAATGCCCTTTACGTTATTATATACACACAATTACCTTCTATTGTTTTTACAAACAACTATTTTACACCAGTAATCATTAATCCAAATAATTTGGATTTAAGGAATTTCTAATTGAAAGCCTATCACATGAATTGTTTATAGTGACAGACAATATACTATTGGTAATTTTAAAGCTTTAAAAGTAAGTTATCAGTATCCACTTCAATCTCCACATGACGATAAAGGATTATTATGTGCAGTAACCTATTTATGAAAAGGAAACAGTGTGCTTCTTTCAGACGCCATCGCTTGCTTTAATAAGGAATTGAAAAGCTGAACTACTTTATATGCAGATCACCATCCCAGTTGCATAAGGATTTACAATAGACAAAACAAAACTATTTTTTGTTGTAAAGAAGGGCTGTTTGTTTAAATCACACAATCACGTTTGCATCTAAAATTATTTACAGTCTAATAAGGCTTCATAAATGTTATATAGACTTGGCTAATTAAAATCATTTTAATGCTAACACCAAAATGAAAGTCTTGCTCAAGCTGACAAGGAAAACTTCAAGTAACACAAGCCTAAAGAAGGCAGAAGGAAAAAGATGCTTAATGTCTTGGTTTAGGTAACTATTAATCGATTTGGAGACGCAAATAGTACTTGATTTGATAGCACCCCATTAATGCTTCAATTAAACTCAAGAGGAAAATGCTGTTTTGTCAGAAAGTGTTAAACTTGAGAAGGATTATGAGTCTAACCCGTGATCTAAAATAAATAGAGTAATGGATACATTTTTATCTCTGCTACCTTGAATTTTGCAGAGAACTTACTTGGGAAGTTTTAATCTCACCCATGAAGTCTTCCTTCGAGGTCTTTAATGGCTCATATGTCTTTGTTAAATGAGGTGTGTGGCGGCCTCTACTGGTGTGTGTTTATAGAAAATGTTTCAATAGGCAGAAAAAATATTAATTTCAATTAAAAAGTTAGAAATACAGACTTTTTCATTTAAATATATAAAAATATCTAATTCAATGCAGAAAAATATATTACTAGCTGTGTCACGTTCTTTTAATTAGGAAAATAATCTAAAACACTCACCATGTTAGTGTAAAATAATGATTTATGGAAGGGCATTAATTGCTCAATTCACTCTGATATTGGGTTAAATATATTTTATTAATGAATTATTAATCCTGACTGAGGTGGCTTATTACCTCTAGTCCACTGTTAAATCCCCTTAGTTGACTTAAATAAAATCACTTAAACCCAGAGGAAAGGAAATATTTTATAGTTAAGCCTACAAAGTCCTAGAACTAGAATCATTTGATGACAGGCTGGTTTCTATAACTCAAGCAAACTGTACGTTGACTTAATATAGCTGACACATCAATCTATTTTACAGTGTTTTCAATTTCAAAAATACAACACATTAAAATATTTTCAATTTATCAAAGCTAAAAGCAACATTTAAGTAATGTACTTAAAGTGCGAAGGCACTTTAACACAAAGTAGTGATACCCAGTGGCTATACTCGGTAACTGACGATGGAAATACCATATATCATTATTTACAAAAGAAGTTGTAGTCACAAAAGATCTTTGGAGATCTTCTACAAAATACACTAAATATCCATTTTCATTTGAAAAGTTTGCCTATTCTTTCTTCAGTCACTATAATCTCCTCTTCCCACTCCCACACTGAAAAACAAAGAAGAAAAAAGAAACAAAACCATAAACAAAATCTATGAAGAAATGCATTGTAGAAACATTCATGTCCACTGATGGTTCCTAAGAAGAGAAGGGAAAAAGAAAAAAAAAAAAAAAAAAAAAAGGAGGGGAGGAGAGCGAGAGAGAAATAATTTAAAGGAAAACTTGCAAAAGCAAAATCATGACTTCATCCTATCTCCCAAACATTTTCAAAGTCCCCCATTAACACTGGGAAAGGGAGAACAAAAACAAACACAAAAGCTAATGTCCTTGTTTCCAACAGTTCGGAGCAGCATCCTCTGATGCCTTAGGGTTGTAAATGATTTCCCTTCACAGCTGACTGATTGCAGTTTGTTTTTCCAGAACTTCGAGGTAGTCCGGTTCTGATTGCGGCTTAGCTTGCAGTAAAGGGTGGTTGGGTTTTGACTGCCCCACAAAGCATTTCCTGGGAGTTCCATATAAAACGGTTTTATTGATTCTGTCTTGGTTTTGGCGTCGAGATTCATAGGAAGGGGCAAACTGCCTTTTAGGTAAGGTACAAAAGTTATAGTGGACTAGGCCTGCGCTGGGAAGTTCCTTGACTCGCTCAGCAATATTTTGATACAGCAGCTCAGGCTCTCTTGGTGTGGCCTGCTTTTCTAGCAGCTCAGTGGCACTTATTGTGTAAGCAGGTGTGGCTGGCTCTTCTTTTTTCTCCTCCAGGTTGCTATAGCTGAACTCTTGCAGGTTTCGGTAATAGGCTACTGGGTCTCCTTCCTTCTGCATGTAGATGGGGTTTTGGCACATCTGACCCACAGGTGGGGGGATATAGTTGTAGACATGGCCGTCTGTTTTATCGTGAGTCTCAGTGTTGTAAGACCCATACTGTAATTGAAAGGAGCTTACGTCTAAGTTGTTGGTATTCCTGGGAACGCTCGGCACTCCCTTTCGGCGTTTCAAGACAAAGACGAATAAACCAGCCCCAAAACAGACAGATAAGATGAAAACAACAAGCAATCCCAGAATTAAGACAGACAGTGGAACTTCAGTGTGTAGTTCAGGATAGGAACTAGGAGACACACTAAGCGACCGAGGTGTGTCTGTATTGTGATTCATTGACAAGACGGTTCCATCTGACAAGTTTGGGCTGTCTGGACAGATAGCCTCCCTCCCCAGAAATTTTAGTATCTCCCCTGCATGCTTAGCAGGAGATTCGCAAGTCACCTCATTAATGATGACAGGGGAATTGGCATGTTCTGTCCAGTCTTTCAGCCCCATGATGTCACAGGTACAGTCCCAGGGGTTCTCCTGCAGATCTATCTGGATGAAAGCCGGGAGCTGATCCAGAACCCCTTTCACGGGCAGGTGAGAAAAATGGTTGTTTCTCAGATTCAGCCTGGTTAGGGCCGTCCCCCCAAATATATTATCAGGTAAGGACCGAAGAAGGTTGTTGTTCAGAAACAGTAGCTGTAGGTTAATCAAAGCATCAAAGGTCAGAGGCTTAATTTCCTTAATGACATTATACTCTAAATAGAGATATTGCAAGCTCTGCAGTCCATCAAACATAGAAGGGTACAGCACTTCAAGGTAATTGCCATTCAGATAAAGTCTGCGTAAACTGGTCAGGTTTGTAAAGGCACCTTCCTGAATGACTGCAATCCTGTTGTTTCCTAAGTGCAGTAAGTCCAAAGAACTGTATTCTAAGAGGTCATTCTTATAGACAGTTTGAAGATAGTTCCCTGTTAGGTAGAGTTTCTTTGGACTGGTCGGTTTGGGCTGCAGGTCAGAGATATTAGTGAACTTCCTTTCTTGGCAGTTTACATTCAGACCATTGTCTGAGCTCTGAGAGGTGCAGACACAGCTGCTGGGACAGGTGAGAGGCACAGGAGACTTGGTCTGGTACACCATGATGGGTCCAAAACTTTGCCTGTCCTTTGACACAGTCACTCGAGGAGTTGGACGATTTCTCATTTTGGGCGGCCGGCTGGCTTTCGGAGCCCTGGTTGGGTTGAGAGCAGGATTCATTGTAGGTGACAGCCTTTGGACGTGGGTGTCAGCATGGCTGCCCCTCTGACTGGAATCACTGGCACTTTTTCTGGGACAGAGGTCTTGCCTGGTCAGCTGGGTCACGTCTTTCCCATGCAACCTAAAGGGAGTCTCACAGACAATCTCTCCCACAAAAACAGTTATGGTGTCTAGCCAGGCCTTGAGAGGAAGTAAGTCACAAGTGCAATTCCATGGATTTTCCTCCAGCTGAATCTCCATGATCCCTCCAATATGTTCAAGGACGCCAGCAAAAGGCATTACTTTTAGCCTATTCCCCCTGAGGTCTAAGTGGGTCAGCAGGACAAAGCGGAACACATTGCTGGGCAGTGAAAGCAGAAGGTTGTCATTCAGGATGAGCACTTTGAGCTTGTTAAGTTTGCTGAATGCCCCAGCCTCGATGGCACTGATGTAATTGTAGTCGGCCTGGAGATACTCCAGGCTCTCCAGGCCTAGGAAGGTGTCCTCCCTCAATATCTCAAGCTTGTTGTTGTTGAGATGCAGTCTTTTGAGAGTTTTCAGGCCACTGAATGCCCCCGTTCGGATCTCCTGTAACCCGTTGTTACCTAGGTGAAGAGTCACCGCGTTGGAGTAATTGACAAATTCGTTTGGATACAGTCTTGTCAAGAGGTTTCCATTGAGAAAAAGCTGATAGATTCGATACTGGGGGGGCTGGAGCAGGCTAACTGTTGTAAATCCTTTGTTCTCACAGTTGATATTCAGTACGTTTTCCTTTTCTTCGCACAGACAGCGGATCTTGCAAATGTCTTTGGCAGTTTTGCGACTCTCTGTCTGTAAGATCCCGGCCACGGTTAACACACTGAGGAACCAAACGCCGCTCAGCATCTTTAGGCACCTTCGGTGTCAACTCAGGTACCTACAGGCAAACCTTAGGTGGGGGCAGGGGGAAGAAGCGGGTGCAGGGAAGAAAGAAACAAGGAAGCCCGATTAAAAATGGTAAAGCAAGGAGGCGGAGTGGGAGCGAGGGAGAATGAGGGGGTTAGCAACACGGCAGAATGAAATCATTGCATTTTCCAAAGCGGTTTCTTTTCTCCGCTCCCTATTCCCCCATCCCGAGGCCACCCACACACGCGCCCCGGGAACACACATGCTTGCACCTGATTTCCCGGGGGGTCGCAGCCAGCCGCCAAGTCATTAGTAACCGAGTTGTCCTACTAAATCCTGCCCATCTCCTCCTCCCCTGGGGTATCTCGAAGAGATCTCGGGCAGCTCGCCCGTCTTGAGCTCCCAGCAGAAATCGCAATCGCTTTAGGAAAAAAAAAAAAAGCGCAAAAAGGGGGTGGGAAAATCAGGAATCAGGGGGCTGGCGGCAGGTGTAGAGGAGAGATAGAGATGGGAAAGACAGTGCGAGGTGGGGGTTACTCACACATCAGGAGAAGACTGAATCCCTCTCCTCTGCAGTCCACCAGGAGTTTAGCATCTTCAGGAAGTGGGAGAACAAGGTAAAATAAGACGCTGCTTCCAGGGGGGATGCCCTGCTTTTTGTTGGTTGATTTAATTTGACTGGGGGTGCGCAGAAATTAAAAATCCGACAGGAGGCAGGAGCGGAAGAGAAGAGTTGGAGCTGAGGGAAGCCGAGCTGCCAGGGAGGGACTGGGGTGCGATTCTGTAGGGAGGTCGGAGAGCCGGCTGGCCCGGTCGGCGGGCGAAGGCGACGACGGAGCCTGGGCGCGCGTTTCCAATTCGGTGGCGGTGGCAGCAGTGCGTCTAGCAGTTTGAATCTGAGAGGCTTTGCAGGCTCCCCGGGACAGGACTAGGGTGACGTCACGGGGGAGGGGGCAGGCAGAGGATCCAGGGCGCGCGGTGGGGGAGGGTTGGGCAGATGCTTCCCTTCCTTGCAAGTGGCTTTGCAAAGCTCAATTCCCGGCTGCGTCAGTTGATTCTGAACTACTCCACCTCCAACCTGGCTGGCGGCAGGAGAAGCTCCTGCAGAGGGGTTTCTCAAGGAGGGGCCCTGCTAATGGCCTGGCACCTCCTTGGGCCCCTCTGTGTGTTCTCTCTCACTCCTCCCTCTTTCTCTCACCTACACAATGCCTATGGAGGGCAGGGGTGGGGGTGGGGGGTTCTTCTCCCAGATTCCCAAGCAAGGGAGAAGCGTGTGTGTGTGTGTGTGTGTGTGTGTGTGAGTGAGAGAGAGAGAGAGAGAGAGTGTGTGTGTGTGTGTGTGTGTGTGTGTGTGGTGTGCCTCTTTGCTACAGGACTGGTGCCCCACTTGCCAGCTCCTAGCTCAGATGCTCTCTGTGCAGAGAGTGGGGTGTGTGTGCATGCACCAATGTGTCTGTGTAGGAGGGTGAGGAGTTCTCTTAGGGGATTTATACTTTACATACAGAGCCCTGATTCAGTGCTAAGAGAATTCCTTTCTGGGTGGTGACCCACCAAACATATTTGCCTGGACTCTGAAAGTCAGCTCAATGTTAGCTTATAGACTGAGAAAAACAAAAACAAACCCCTTTTCTCCCTGAGGTTTATACTTAGCCAGATAATGAGGTTTAAACGTGCACTTCTTGCCTGGAGGAAGGAGAAAAGAAGTGGGTGTCAGAAAAGCACTGCCAGGCTGAGCCTCAGCTGGGAGTGGGAGCCAAAGGAAGGGTGGTTGAGCCCTCCAGGCTGCAGGGGCAGGGGAGCTAGGAGAAAAGAGGAAGCTGGTGCAGGAAGACTGGCTCCTGAGAAAGAGAGGAGATGGAAAAGGAATCCTGGCCTGAGACCGAGCTTACCTGGGTTCTGATCTGGCTCTGTTGCTAGATGTGCCACTAGCTTCTGGATCTTCCTGTGTCCATCTGCAAAAGGCAGGTAGGTAGACTGTATGGGCCCTCCCAGCTCTGATATCCAATGCGGGTTTAAATAGCCTTTCCAGAGCATTGCTAATGGCCAGGTGTTGGATTTTTGCCTTCATTATCTGTTTTCTCCTTAATTATCTTACAGCTCCTTGGACCCAAGAGTCTTCCATTGTGGAATCAATTCGCAAGGGGTAAATAATGTCTGCTGTTGCCTGGAAAGGCCTTGGTTGCCTCTGGTAGGAAGGGGGAGATGGGTCAGGAAAAGGAGGGAATCAACCAGGGAAAAGGAGTTGACCAAATGATGTGCCTGTCCCACAAAACACTTCAGCTTGCTTTCCCGGAGTCCCACTGCCTGGCCAAATGTGGAATAGATAAACACACAGATACAACAAACCACTTGAGAACAGAATGACCCTTGCTTCTCCCCTTCTCCTTCCTTGTTAAGCCTAGGTTCTAGGATTGTTCCCTTTATACAAGCTCCTTTCTCTCCGGGAAGGGCGGGGGTAGTTTATAAACTTAGGCACTAGGGCCACCTGTAGCTGGTGATCTGTGCATTATTTTCTTGAGCTTTCTCCCTTTCTCCTTCTTCTTCTTCTAAGAGCCTTGGACCAGGCATCAGAAGCCCCCTTACCCTCTAATTCTTGCTTGGCGTTTAGCAAAATACTTTCCTTCTGGAGACTCAAATTTTCCTTCTCCATAGAGAAGGGCAAACTTGAGATGAGCTCTGAGGCAGAGGGACAGCCCTGTGGATGGCCTCCCACCCTGTATTGCAATTGCATCATTAGATGGAAGCAGTCTGATGCAGTGGGAGCACAATTAAGCTCCCTTTCCTAGCAAAGGAGGCATTTGTTTCTATGTATTTCCAAAGGTTAAAAGCACATAGTTCCTAGAGCAATAAGATTTATTCATTCAGTCATTCATTCAACAAACATGTATTATGTCAATATTTAACTGAAGTAAAGACGTGAGAGCCGAACAAGACCTTAGAAGTCAGGTTCATTTTACAGATGAGGTCATTTCTTAACCAGGGAAAGTGCTGACTTACTCAAGAAACTACAAATAGAAACAAAACCCAGGGATTATGAGTCCCAGTCCATCATCTTTCCAAAAAGCACACTACTGCTTAATATGAATTAAAAATCTACTTAAACGTAAATAGCAGTGGTAGTGTTTTACTTAAAGGTATCCTTTTTATTAAAAAAAAATGTATTTGAAAGTGAAACATCAAATACTAGTTTCGGTTCTCAGATACAGTAATTTCCTTCAAGACATTGATGACGCTTTCAATATTCCTTGAGGACAGATTATTTTTGCGAAGAATTTCAGAGACAGGAGAGAGATTCAGAGAGAAAGGTGGAGGTGGTTGGGGGCTCATGAGATTCTTGAGACCTACAGAATCAAGGAAATTCATGGGTAATCTAACTGTGGGAAGCGACACTCGGACCCTAAGGAGGTCTTCGTTCCTGCCTGTCCTTGAGAGTCCACAGCTGCTTTCCAAAACGTAGTTACTAGGAACAAATCAGCCTGAAACGCGATAACCACTTTAAGTAAGTTTCATTTGGCCCCGTGTCTTCTGAAGAACTGCCGCAGCACTCCGCTAGGGAGAGCGGGCTTTTAAGGCTGTGGAAAGGTTCAGGGTGAACTGGGACCCCAAGGGAGGGAAAGGCGGTCATTAAAATAAGGAAAACGCTCCCTCTCCTTGCTGAGGCAAGGGAGGCTTAAAGACGAACTCCGTCGCCTGTCTCACTCGCATCTAACCGAGTAGAGCCTGGCTCAGGTCTCCAAGCCTTCCACAGGACACGGTGGGTGCCGGCGGGCTTACAGCCCACCTCCGTCCCGGCCGCCCATCAGGCCACGAGGGGGCTAAGAGGAGTCCGGGGAACCAGAGAGGGGGCACTGCTTGCCCGCAGCCTCTTCTTCTAAACACCCGCCGCCCGCAAGCCGGGTCGAATCCCATTTCCGAAGGGCGCTTCCGGGAGACCAGGTGTCTCCGAGCGTCCCCGATCGCCGGTAACTGGGCACCGGCCGCCAGCGCAGCCCTACCTTCCCTGCCCCTACCTGCTAGACGCCTGGTGCGGTGCCCGGCATGCGGACCTACAGCCGCGACGGCCACTCGGGCTGCCCTCGCCATGGGACTTGGGCACTGCAGGCCGACCGGAGGCTTCTAGCTCGCGCCGGGTGCGTGGGCCCTCCCTGGCCGCCTGTGCCACCCCGCTGCGCGAGGCGCGGAGCCCGACCACGCCCGCGCGGACGGTCCCGGGGTGAGGAATCTCCAGTGGGGATTGAGGGTAGAGGGCGGCCGCCAGCGAGCTGCCCTCCGCGGATGGCGCCCAGCCTCCCCACGCTGGTGCCCCTCGCAAGGAGAGGTGGCCGGGAAAGGCAACGGACTGAGGAAAGCCGGCTCACTGGCCGCGTCGCCACCGCGTCCCTGAGTGCTCAGAACTTACCGAGCGAGCGCGCCGCCCAGATCTTTTCCCGGAGGCGCCCGCAGCATCTGCGACTCGGGGAGGCAAAGGAGCCGGCACCGCCTCGGACTGGCGCAGCCCAGGAGCGAGAGCACCGCGGGGAGCGCGGGCGGCGCCCCCAGGGCAGGCAGATCCCCACCGAGCAGCTAGCCAACGGGCAACGCTTCTTGCAGGAAGGAGGGAGGGAGGCGAGAGGGAGGAGGGAAGTAAAGCGGGAGGGAGGAGAGGGGAAGAAGGGAGGGAGGAGGGAGGAGGGAGGGAGGAGGGAGGAGGGAGTGAGGAGGGAGGAGGGAGGGAGGAGGGAGGGAGGGATCGCGTCCCCCCTCTCCCTCACTTATCAATCACCCCACAGATCAAATATCCGGGCTGTGCACCCAGGACGGGGATGTAAGAGCCCACAAAGGAGCCGCTGCTCCATTTCTCTGACAAGCGCTGCGGAGCACTGCTCACGCCTCTCGGTCCCTCTTGCCTGGAACTCTGCCCAGCCCTTGCGGCTTCCACCCTGGGCTGCAGCTCGGGCTCGGTCAAGTGAAATAAGAATGGCACACGGTCGGTACCATGTCCAAGGGGAGACTAAGACTACTGGGTGGAAGTTAACGACAAGTGAAAGAGCAGTCAGCCATCCGAGCTGGACACCCTCCGGGACAGCTGCCTCCCCTAACTAGTAAGCGCCCAGTCTTTGGGAGTTCGCAGGCAGATATTTAAGAACCTCCTACGAGGATCGTAAACAAGGACTTTCAACATAAGATAGAGCTGAACTTGAGTTGTGCAAGTGTGTTAACAAAGCAAGCCCTTAGCAGCGTTCCAGTGCCCATTTTGATTCCCTTTATTCTTCACGACGACGTTGCCTGGATCTTCTAGAGCGTGATTTTTGCCATCCTCCCTTCCCTTTTCTCCTTTCTTCTTCCTCTTATTAGTAGTCCAGGTGGTTGTGATTCTATTAAAGGAAGGCGCTCTGTGAAAAGAGTCAGTGTAGTTCAAGAGGGAGGTGCGGTTTTTGCCAAGAGCATTGCGTTTCCCCTCAAGACTTGCTTTCTCTAGGGCCTCTCCTCTACTCTTCCAGAGTATTCGAGATAAAGTTGCAGTTTGATAAATTTATGCCAGGAGTAGGGAGTTCATTTGATGACACTAAGTCATTTTCCCCTCCATCCTGTAGGAGAACGTCATTAATTCAAGTCGTTGCCACCCCCTATCCTTTTCATGCCCGCTAGAGTCTGCAAAACCCCAAATCCTTCTTACTGTCGAAAAGCGTGATGGTGGAGAGCAGACGGGGAGGCGAGGAGAGAGGTGCAAAATTAGACGCAAAATTACCTCTCCAGCTAGTGGATCTGCATTGGAATTTGTCTGTTTCCATATTTCCCATGCCTTTCAACTCGTTCTCACAGCACTGACAACCACCTTTTTCTTGTCCTTCCCGTGGGAATCTTTTGTGCTTCTCCTGTCCTCTCTTCTTGGCTTTCTTTCATAATGGTTTTCTAAGGAGATTATGCTGGGCTTTTTAAAAAGAAAACTACTGGCAATCTTATATTATGAAGATGTACAGAGTTTGCTTTAATAATAGTCGGAAGAATTATAATCGTATCTTCGGAGTTGTAAGGGTCATTACTGTTCCTTTTATTTCATTCTTGAGAAAGCCTTTTTGAAATCTTCCTACCATTCAGATAAGCAACTTCGGAATAACATAGTTCTCACATAAGCACGTGGGCAGTGTATGTACGGTTATATATCCAGAAGCATTGCTCTTCTTTTTACAATATCTGTATTAGTGTAAACATCCAATGTGCTGTTTGCTACAGACTAAAAGCAGTGCACTGAGCACATCATATTATTAACTAAATGAGGTCAGTTAATACTGTTACTTCTGTCTTTACCGTATTTCTGACTGTGTCATCTTTTCATGTCGCTTTTAGTAGATGTTATAAACAACTGCAAAACACAGAGCTAAGAGGCCATTCCAATACAGAAATAATGAGACAGTCATGCTGAAAAACTCAGACAGTTTACTAAGAAGGGTGATGTGTCTGTAGCCAAAGGGAACATACAAAATAAGCAAAAACTTCTATACAGAGTAGAGAAGGAACATGGCATTAATGATGAAAAGTGATACTTTATTTAGATCCAGTAGTAACATGTAATAGATGGCATGCATCAATTTTAATTAGCCTTGTAAGCAAGTCTAACCTGTTCACCAGCCTTCGAAAAGCATTTAGCAGCCTGCCTTTCCACATGGGACCACACTGATAGTAAGACAAAATTAAAAAGAGCAGACTTTTCTTTTTGTCAGCATAAAATTTTCAAGTAGGTGGATAGCTGTGCTTTGAATGCACAGACACGAAAATTGATGAGCAATATAAAACTTTCTGAGAGGGTTTTGCATAGACAGTTATAATGGAGGAGAGTTTGAAGTCTGTGAAAAATTTAAATATGCCAATTTATTTGAAAGCTGCTTTATGCTGAATTTTCTAAAAGCTTCTGTGTTAGAGGAAAATTTCCAAATAGAATTGAATACTAGAGACACCATATTAATGTACTTCTGTTCATTAATAAAAATCACATTATTCTTCTTTATACTAGCACTGTAAATGTATCTTTATATCCATGTGCTGTTTTCTTTTTGAAAAACTTTTATTTTAGGTTCAGGTGTACGTGTGCAAGTTTGTTATATAGGTAAATTGCATGTGGTGGGGGTTTGGTTTACTGTAAGCTACTTTCTATTGTGAAGTTCGTGTTACTAAACAACATAGAGATCCCGATTGGAAAACTAGTGGAAAAACAGAGAAATAAAACTAAATCTTGCCTGGGTTTTTATAATTTCATTCTAAGGTTAGAAGAAAACCAGAAATTTCACCTGCGATGAGTGAGATAAAAAGCGCATATGTTTCCAGGATGATGTAAAGGATGTCCTATTACTGTGTAGTACGTAATTTACCTGAGAATGTTGCTTTTTCAACTTCTTCACACCTATCCAGAACTAGAAAGCTTTAAAACATATAAAAGAAGACAAAATGTGCTGCATTTTCAGTGAACATAGTTTCTTTCCAACCAAAGGTTTCAAAGAAGAGTGCCACAGAACAAATTCCTAAATAAAGAAACGCAACAAAGCGGACATGCCCTTAATATTAGTAATTATAGTTTACAGGATATTGTAGACTTTTGTTCCTGATGTTATTGAAAAGGTGGATATTTTTCAATTCAATTCAATTATTTGGATTATTTGGCAGGCATTTTGGCCTGATTGAAATAGTGCTGGGCCAAGACCCAGGGCAGTTTTTCTTTTAATCAAATACATATCCAAGCCCTTGGAGCCCAATGACCTGGGTTCAAATTCCACCCGTGCTACTTTCTCACAATGGGACAAAAACAGCATTACACCAATTTCAGTTCCCCATGTGTAAAACTGGCACCTGCTATGTGGAGTCAGTAAGGATGGGATGTATACAGAACTCTTGAAAATTGAACGGTGGTACATGTATGTGCAAATAAATCTTAAACTAAAAAAATTTTTAACTCACTTCTTAAAATAAATAAGTTATACAAAATATTTTATATCTGTTTTCTATGTTTCTCATGACAATCCTCAACAGGCCAGTATGATTAGCCAGACTTTACAAAAGAGGAAAGTGAGACTCAGAAAATTTAAGTAACTTACCCTTACTCCCATTCTTGGTGAAATGGTTGATTTTAGTCAGAAACCAACATCTTAATTTAAGTTGGATAACAGAATTAGCATTAGAAAAAATATTTATGATTCTAGTTGGAGCCATGTAATGTCAAACATTTAAAATAACTTCAAAAAAATTCCATCTTTCATTTTACAGATGTTTTCAAATAGTTACATATATGTATACATCAGGGCTCAAACTCAACACTGTTGATATATTTGGTCAAATGATTATTTGTTGTGGGGGCTGCCCTATGCAATGTAGAAGGATTAGCAGCGTCACTGGCTTTTGTGTGTGTGTGTAATGTGCATATGTATACTATATATACATACGTGTAATTATATAAATGTAATAAGTAATATAACAATATATAATGAAATATTATTCTATTGTAGTCGATTTTTTAAATGCTTGGCTGTGGCCCACTAAACTGAACTCAGGAGTGACTGTAGATTGCCTCTTACAGTTTGAATAACACTGCCACGCTGGAATGGGCAGGAAAGGAAGGAAAATGGGATAGAAAGGAGAAAAGAGGCAGTAGATCAAGAGGGGAAGTACAGAAATAGAAGGAAAAGACAACTGCATGTCTTACAAAGTTATAGAAAGACTTATGGTGCCCCCATCAATTACACCAAGTGCCACTTATTAATGATACCTGTTCTCTAAGGGCTCTGGCTCTCCCTCTTTTTTGACTGAGTCCAGTGATTTATCAGTAAGAACCACATTTAAGCTTACTAGACTTGGGAGCACATATACATGGCAAAAGCCACAAATTTAACAGATAAGGCTCAGGACAGCATTAGTAGGTATTTCATCTATCCTGACACATTCTATCTTATGAATTTTGCTGCAGCTGGAAGTCATATTTTGGTTTGGAGTTACAACCTAATGTGTTCAGGAGGAAGCCAAATTTATTAGGTTTGACATTGCACTTTATTGGAATGGTATAATGCAGTTGAGCCTCTGTAATAAGTTCTGTTGATTTTATTTATGTATTTATGTTTGGCTAGTATAAATATATGGTAAAGTATGTGCTGTGGTAGAGAGTTTAATGCTGACTCTGCTGGAAAATTCAAAAATGTCTGCATAGAAGATGCCCAGTTCTAAAGAGTTACGGTCAGAGGAGCAGCTACTCAGGATTTGCACTAAGTAGTTCTGATTTTTAAAAATGTCATCATTTGTGAAGAGGACTAGTCTATTAATATGAACAAAATGGCAAGGATGACATACCCCAGATCTACCTGAAGTTGTGATTTGCACAAAATGAAGCAGAGTTTCAAAATTGTAGGTTTAGAAATGAGGCAAGTAAGATCTAGAATGTAAATAAAATCATTTCCAGTAATAACTGGATGCCGCATTCAACCATCATTGCAAATCAATGTGAGGAGAATGGATGTTTTTTACCTTGAATCCTGATGACTTATTACTCAGATGTGATATCAATTATTTTTGTCCCCTTCTATTTTTCATCTCCCAGGCAGTTTCTTAAGTGACAGTACAATGACATTTGGAATACAACCCTCTTCACCTGATTATGGTAGGTCAGGTAACCTCTTAGTCAGATGTAACGGCCCCAGGACATATATTAAGTAACTTTTGCATCTGCCTTTGGTCTCACTATATTCCTAAGCAAATTGAAAAGAAAATGAGCCTCAAGTTTTATGAGTTTTAGATTACCTAAATACACCTGAAGTTCTCTTAGAAGAATAGCCTGAAGTGTCTCTGAGGTGGAAGAATTATATGCAGCATCTTGAAAGCATCACTTTGCGGGAATCTCAGGAAACCATGCCAATATTGAAAGCATAATTATCACCAAATTTTTCTTCCACCGTGGGCATCACCACAGCAACACAAGTACAGGAGTGGGGTCAGTGTCACTTTATTAATATTTTGAAAGGAGGCAAAAGCAAGCTTATTTTTTTTTGCTACACATCGTTGCTTCAGAATAATAAATTCAGTATGCTGATCCTTTAGCTTTTCATATATAGGTCTAGTTGACCGAGGTTAGAGAATGGCACAATTAGAACTGGAAAATTTATTTGCCTTAATTTGAATATATTGAACTGTTTAATGTATTTTTCAATAAAAATACTAATATGTAGGGAGCGCTGTACATGACTGCTAAATGATGAACGCTGGTTATTATTTGCAGCATGGAAAGACAACTGTCAAATTAATGAACTGATGTTCTGGTTACAATTTTAAAAAATATAATCACTCAATTTCAGGTAACTCCTATACTTGAATATAAATAAACATTGTATAACAATTTTGACTAAACCTGGATCCCTGCTGTAAAGTTCCAGTTGCTTGGAATTCAAATGTCATATGATTTACTGAAGGTTCTGAATGGATCTGCTTTGATTTATATTGCAACATTGGGGTGTATTGAATTCCAATGAAATTGTTGATTTGTTATCTTTGCTATGGCCATTAGCCAAATTCATTCTTGAGCTGCAGTGGTGATGTAGATCACAGCTTACCTGGCTTCATCAAGTTGTGTTTCTCTATGGTTTTTAAGTATGTGGTTTGGCTAAAGTAGAGTTCAAGGACACAGATGGACCATAATACCTATATTAAATTAAACATCCAACTTCTTGATCAATTTTCAGTGTTAATATGCAAAGCACCTGTATTAGTCTGTTCTCACACTGCTAATAAAAACATACCCAAGACTGGGAAATTTATTTAAAAAAAAAAAAAAAAGAGAGGTTTAATGGACTCACAGTTCCACATGGCTGGGAGGCCTCACAATTATGGCAGAAGGTGAAAGCCATGTCTTACATGGCGGCAGACAAGAGAGAATGAGAACCAAGTGAAAGGGGAAACCCCTTATAAAATTAACAGATCTCATCATGAGACTTACTACCACGAGAACAGTATGGGGGAAACCACCCCATGATTCTATTATCTCTCACCAGGTCCCTCCCACAAAACGTGGGAATTATGGGAACTACAATTCAAGATGAGATTTGGATGGGGACACAGCCAAACCATATCAGTACCTTAAATAATTTTAAAAACCCACCTTAATAAATTACTGTAACTGATAATTCTATGTAAAAAGTCTCAAAATAATAGGGGAACAGGGCAAGTGATCTACAATTAAACTGCAGGCTTACAAAGCTTCTTTCATGCGTGTTCAATTCTTATCTTTCATTGAAATACCAAAGTAATGTAATGTTTAAGAATTTTCTACTTGCAAAATGCTGATGATTATTTTGGGTATAAAAGCACTTGATAGCCTAAGAGTTTGTGTTTTATGTATGTGCCTATCTATCAATACCTTCCTTTCCCTGTTTCCTCCCTTCCTTCCTTCTTTTCTTTCTTTTATAATTGATTTGGGAATTCCTTCATTCACAGTTAGATGTTTTATCAACAAAAAGTATAAACACTACAGGGAGCAGTTTATATTATGATAAAATGATTACTTGAAATGGGTTATCACTACATATAAGTTTCTACGATAAAGATATCATCATGTTTTTTTTTTTGTTCGACAGTCTCGCTCTGATGCCAGGCTGGAGTGCAGTGGTGCAATCTCAGCTCACTGCAACCTCTGCCTCCCGGGTTCAAGCAAATCTCCTGCCTCAGCCTCCCGAGTAGTTGGGACTACAGGCACGCACGCCACCATGCCCAGCTAATTTTTGTATTTTTAGGAGAGACGGGGTTTCACCATGTTGGCCAGGATGGTCTCAATCTCTTGACCTCATGACCTGCCTTGGCCTCCCAAAGTGCTGGGATTACAGGTGTGAGCCACCGTGCCCAGCCATAATTGTTATTTTTACTCAAATTTCCATAGGCTATTAGAATGGTAGGATGGGAAGGGGATCTAGCTTCAGCGTACCTTATTTTGTAGTTTGTGTTCATCTCCAACATCCACATCCCCTGGGCCCTTGTTAAACAGGAAGATTTCTGAGCTCCTCTAAAATCTTACCGAATAGAACTTTCTGAAGGTGAAGTCTGGGAATGGTACTTTTATAGGACTCTCAAGGGAATCTGATGTAAATGGCAAGATCCATTCTAGTCCAACATCTTCATTTTATAGATGGGGAAAATGAGGCTCAGAGAGGTGAAGTGATTTTATTCAGTCATACAGGCAGAGTCAAAAGAAAAATTCACATCTCCCAACTCTCATGTAAATGCCTCTGCTTGGTTGTTTAATGTTTTGATGCTTTAATTTTAGAATTATATTTTTTCATTGATGTTCAGCGTTAAAATTTACCATTGCACAATACACTCTGCTTATGAACCATGTTATAATAGGCCTGCAAAAAGTGCATGCTTGGTCAGCCACATTAAGCAGTACCATTTTATTTTCAAATTCTTTTAACTAAAATTTTATTGCTTATGTTGTGCTTTGGGATGAACTATATAAAATGGAATAAAATGCTTGGTAAATAGTTATTGAATTTAAAAAAATGAACACAAATCTCAGTATTGAGTTTAGAAAGATTTACTTCATTATTTTCACATACATGCTAAAATATCAAACTTAAGGAAATCTGAAGTAGCTTACTTTTCATGCTATCATTTACTAGATCTACTGAATAATTTTGAGGATATTGCAGGGAGACCCGGGTCCATAAATAGTTTTTTTTTCTCTTTCATTTCGCATCTTCTTCGTTTCAAAATTTTGAGTAGAGTTATATAAGTCCTTCAGAGTAGGCCTCTGATGCATGGGGGCTGAGAACATTATCATGAAGCTCACTTGACCTATAAGTGTCAACTTCAAGAAAATTTCTGCTACTAACTTTTGAAGATAAAATAGAACATCTAATGAACATTCAGAAGAGGAAGATATATATCCATTTCATGTAAGCTGACCTGGATTTCAGCTGCAGGATCTCTTCTTGACGCATTTATAACTCATTTTAATTGCTAATAGGTACTGTGTGTACACACCCAAGGCAGAATGGGACTAAGCCTCTCAGATTTACAAAGGTGAATTAACTTAAAATTAAACAATAGGTTTTTGTGAAAAGACATTTCATTTGACATAATCTAATGCTGAACCAAATAGATGTGATTGACAAGCCCCAATTATCCAAGAAAGTTGAAAGGACTAGTGACATTTTTATGCCCCATCTACATTACTTTAATTATTTAAAAGGGGAATTTGGTGATTTCATTTGCATAAAGTGCAGATAGTAGAAAGTATGTGGGCTTTGGAGTCAAACAGATCTGGATTTGAATTCCAGCTCAACTATCTAACCAAGAATGTGAGTAGGAGTGTGGGCATGTTTTAAATTCCCTGAGTCTCACTTTCCTCTTTTGTAAAGTCTGGATAATTATACTGACCTAGTGAGTATTGTTGTGAGAAACACAGAAAAAAGATATAAAATGTTTCATACAGTGCCTAGCATTTAGTAGGTGAAAAGGAAAGCATATTATCCTCCAAGTGTTCTTAGCTTGATCCATAGAGTAGGGAATACCGTCCTTCTGGAAATAATAGGAAGAGTGGGTCTCTCTCTCTCTTTCTCTCACTTTCTCTTCTTCTGCCTCCTCCTCCTCCTCCTCCTCCTCCTCCTCCTCCTCCTCCTCCTCCTCCTCCTCCTCCTCCTCCTCCTCCTCCTCCTCCTCCCTGCCTCCCTTCTCCTTCTCCTCCTCCTGACTCCAAGAAAGAAGTGATCTCCCTGGTGAGTTTGAGAGAAGAATCTGAACAAGATTAGCTCAGTGATGTTTGTGTCCTTTTTTCTTTCCAGGGCCACCTACTCTCAGATTATGCCCAGCACTGCCTGGGACTGGATGGCTAAATTTAATTCAGAAGTCTTTGCCGGGAAGTCCAATTATGGCCATAGACCAAACCAAGTTATTGAATTTATTGTTAACAGTAATGAACCTGGTATTTTGAGCTCCATCTGTCTGATACTTGCATTTACTTCTTAATTAGTTATGAAACCACAGTGTGTTGAAAAGCGTTAACATGATCACCACCAATTGCCCACCAGTAGGCAGTCAATAAATTATAGCTATTATCACAGACGTTTTTAACTGTACCCTCATGCTTTCTGTAGTAATTTGATCTATTCAGTATACAAAATGTCTGTCACTTAATGAACTCCTTATGGGGTATTGCTGTATACTTTAATTCCTTATTAATTAATTAGGAGAAAAATGGCCATTAGTATCTCCTATCTGGGTGAGTAGCATAACTGCCTCACAGTTTGTCAAAAGTGAAATTCACTTCAAATTGAGAAGAAATGTTAGGTTTGATTCCCCCTCAAGTTCAATTCTGCTTAGTCATACATTGTATGTATTCTTTCTAAGCCCAGACAATGTCTAATATATCAAAAGTAACTGGATTTAGAGGTATTACGAAGTAATAGTCTTCATCATAGAAAAACCAATTCTCTTATTGTAGCTTCACCTGGCTTGTGAGAAAATGTGCGTGTGTGTGTGTGTGTGTGTGTGTGAATTTAATTGTCATTTATACTTTGTGACATGAATACAGCAAGTGGCAGAACACAAACGTGTGAGTCCAAGGAAAAATATTAACAGTAGGATCCTTACTCCTTGGTAGGTCAAAAAGTTCTTTATCTTTTTGTTTTAATTAAGATAATGAAGGAATGAAAAAAAAAGAGAAGAGAAATATAGACAATAACATACAAGATCCCTTGTTCCTACCATGTCAATTGACTGTGTTAAAAAGACCAGAAGCAAATGTGAACAATATTATCAATATAAAAATAAACAACATAAAGATGAAGTTGGTTTGTATCTTCTCACCAGTTTCATTCTTTTTACCTCTCCCCAAATGCAGACATGTTGATGTGCATAGATCCAGTTTCTTGTAGATAACTACCTACATATTTACTCATGGGCAATATATAGGCTCGTTTTGTGAGAAAAATAATGTATGTATTATTATCTATTTTAACTAATTTCTTTTAGATTTTTCCATGTTGATACATAGACACCTATTTAATGACTCTTTCAGTTTAACTGGAACATAGTAGTCATCATATAAATACATCGAATTATATGTAGCAATTCTCCTAAGATGTTTCCAACTTTTTCACCAACACAAAGAAGCCACATTCTTGCAATAAATACCTTTCCTGGTCATGTTGCCTTCAGTGTTCTGAGTAGGTGCCCTATCTTTCTTTCGTAGTGCAGACTCCTGTTTTATTACTCCATGGCATTTAACACAATTTATAACATTGTATTTAGTTATTTTATTTGCCTTCAGTGTTCTGAGTAGGTGCCCTTTCTTTTCTTCTATAGTGCAGACTCCTGTTTTATTACTCCATGGCATTTAACACAATTTATAACATTGTATTTAGTTACTTTATTTATTGTTTACTTCTTTTACTTCTTCTTTTTTTTTTTTTTTTTTTTTTTTTTGATGAAGTCTCGCTCTTGTTGCCCAGGCTGGAGGGCAATGGCGCGATCTCAGCTCACTGCAACCTCCACCTCCCAGGTTCAAGCGATTCTCCTGTTTCAGCCTCCCGAGTAGCTGGGATTACAGGCGCCTGTCACCACGCCCGGCTAATTTTTTGTATTTTTAATAGAGACGCGGTTTCACCATGTTGGCCAGGCTGGTCTCTAACTCCTGACCTCAGGTGGTCTGCCCATCTCGGCCTCCCAAAGTGCTGGGATTACAGGCGTGGTGAGCCACCTCGCCTGGCCTATTGTTTACTTCTTTTTAATGACTAACTTCCTCACTAGATTGGTCTGTATGCAGGAACCGCGTTTGTTTTTGCTGCATTTTAAATGACTGTCATATAGCATATGCTCAATAAACATTTGTTGAATACATGAAAGAAATCAGAACAACAAATGGATGACTTTTTCCTTAAGGGGGATCATCTGCTAGGAAGTTGCTTATTCCTTTAGAAAAATATATTTCTGGCAGGCCTGCACCAACTGGTTAGCTAAAAATACCCAGACCTCTTTGGTTCCCCATTATTACTGTGGCTTAGACTTAATCTTGAATTTCTCCTATGTGAGATATAATCCAAGAAACCAGACCATGTATAGTTATCTCATTTCTCTGAATCTTAGAGCCACCAGTAATAGAAGTGAGTGTCATTGTAAATATAAAGTCATCCTCAGAACAAGATGGACCTTAAGACAAGCAAAAGCTACTACAGCAGATTTTACATTACCAGTAGCCTTTTACGGTTAGTCAAAGGAGCCCAATTTTTATTCCAGGACATTGCCTCCCAGAATGAACACTATCATTGTCAACTTCGTTGCAGCTAAGCAAAGCCCTGTCACTAAGTTCTGGCCAATGAGAGTGGAAGTGTCATTTGGGAGCTATGGGAAGTCTTCTTTAAAAAGGAGATGAATGCCCTTGTTCTGCACTCCTTTGATACTGTTTCCATGGCCATCTTGGACCATAAAGACTAGGGCTACCATCTAGGGTTGTGGAAATCATTCCCAGAACATGCTGGGGTCCCTAAGGACCATGTAGAACCATCATAGTAGCCCTCAATTGCCTACCTGTGGGCATTCTTTTATGTTAACTTTTATTTTAGGTTCAGGGGTACATGTGCAGGTTTGTTATATAGGTAAACTCATGTCATGGGGGTTTGTTGTACAGATTATTGTCACCCATGTATTAATCCTAGTACCCACTAGTTATTTTTCCTGATCCTCTGCCTCCTCCCACCCTCCACCATCTTATAGGCGCCAGTGTGCCTTGCTCCCCTATATGTGTCCATGTGTTCTCATCATTTAGTTCCCACTTAAAAGCAAGAACATACAGTATTTGGTTTTCTGTTCCTGCATTAGTTCGCTAAGGATAATGGCCTACAGCTCCATCCATGTTCCTGCAAAGGGCATGATCTCATTTTTTATGGCTGCATAGTATTCCATGGTGTATATGTACCACATTTTCTTTGACCAATCTGTCATTGATAGGCATTTAGGTTGACTCCATGTCTTTGCTATTGTGAATAGTGCTGCAGTGAACATACACGTGCATGTGTCTTCATGATAGAACGATTTCTATTCCTTTGGGTATATACCCAGTAATAGGATTGCTGGGTCCGATGGTAGTTCTGTTTATCCTTTGAGTAATCACCCCACTGCTTTTCATAATGGTTGAACTAGTTTACATTTCCACCAACAGCATATAAGCATTCCCTTTTCTCTGCAACCTTGCCAGCATCTGTTATCTTTTGATTTTTTAACAATAGCCATCCTGACTGGGGTAAGATGGTATCTCATTATGGTTTTAATTTGCATTTCTCTAATGATTAGTGATGTTGACCTTTTTTCATATAACTGTTGGTTGCACGTGTGTCTTCTTTTGAAAAAAGTATTCATGTTCTTTTCTGACTTTTTAATGAAGTTGTTTGTTTTTTGCTTATAAATTTGTTGAAGTTTCTTATAGGTTCTGGATATTAGACCTCTGTTGAATGTATAGTTTGCAAATATAAGTTCCCATTCTGTAAGTTGTCGCTTTACTCTATTGTCAGTTTCTTTTGTTGTATAGAAGCTCTTCAATTAGGTCACATTTGGGAATTTTTGTTTTTGTTGCAATTGCTTTTGGGATCTGTAACACCATGAAATCTTGGCCAGATCCTATGTCCAGAATGGTATTGCCTAAGTTATCTTCCAGGGTTTTTATGATTTTGGGTTTTACACTTAAGTCTTTAATCCATCTTGAGTTGATCTTTGTATATGGTATACAGAAGGGATCCAGTTTCAATCTTCTGCATGTGGCCAGCCCGTTATTCCAGCATCATTTATTGAATAGGGGGTCCTTTCCTCATTGCTTATTTTTGTCAGCTTTGTCAAAGATCAGATGGCTGTAGATGTGCAGCCTTACTTCTGGGCTCTCTCTTCTGTTCCATTGGTCTATGCGTCTGTTTTTGTACCAGTACCATGCTGTTTTGGTTACTGTAGCCCTGCAATATAGTTTGAAGTCATATTCTTTTTTAACATGAGAATTAACATTCCATATCCAGGTGACACTAATTCAAAGAGATATATTTAGCTAAAGCAATATCATCTTAGAAATCTTGCCTTTTGACAAAAAATATACAAACTGGCACAGAAGCCACTTAATAGCTCTGTAAACCTAAGCAGCTAACTCTTAAGGCTTTTTTTTTTCTTTTATAAAACTACAGGCTAAACTCAAAATTATATAAATTCTTTGTCTGCTATAGAATTCTGCCACTAGATCTAAATACAATCTCTCTGGATTGTTTTGGGGCTAACATTAGGAAGAAATAAAGCCTGTCTTTACAGTTTGGCAAAAGTTCATTAATTGGATTTTTTTTGATCATTTGAATGCAGGGTAGCCTGAAGTTTATCTTTGTACTATCTAAGAAAAACCTCAACAAATCTGCAAGGTAATTGTTGGCTTACTTTAGCAACCAACTGCTTCCTAATTGAAACTTGGCAGCTCCTATTTGCATAAAAACAGTTAATGTACTAATTTTAAATGATTTTTTAAAAATCCATTTGCTGAAATTGTCTGGCAAGACCTCATAATGTTACTCATATTGTAGTGAGGTGGTCCAAGACAGAACCTCGATATTTCTGATTCTTTGATGACTGGTAGTAGGGATAAAACTGCTTTTCCAAAATTGCAGGAAATTAGCTTCCTGGGGCTGGAAAAGTAAAAATGGGGCTGTGCCTTTCTCGTCCTTCTAGAAGGGATTACTTGTGAGCCTTATTGTCATGCAGAAGAATGTTAAGTACTTATTCTTTGTCCTTTGATATTGAAAGTAATCTAAGTGTAAATAAATCACAGTGGGATGCTAACTTATTCTAATAATATAAAGATATACTTTTGGTAGGGGTGTGGGGTTGGGAATCCAAGCCCTTGTTGATATCTAGAGATTTTCTATTTCCTCTGGCCTGACCTAGGACAAATGTATTCAAGAGAAAGATATCAGGAGAAGAAACTCTAGCAGCTGGCTTGCAAGAGACCCTACATATTGTTATGTGTCCTGTGGGTTTTGGGAGCAGCTATTTCTGATATTAAGCTAAATTTTCCTTTCTGAATTGTAATATTCTTACAAAATTCTCAAATTTCCAGTACAATGTGTTAACCACCAAACCTGATCGCAGGCTCGTGTTAACACTACCTTGGGGAGGGGAGAAAGGGACGCTACTGTTGCATTCAGACAGAAGTTTTTGAGAGCTGGTGTGGCTTGACTTAATGGTAAGCAGATAGATGAGATTCAGGAGTGATCCAGAGACACTGGAAGCAGCAGTATGGAACCAAAAGAAACAAGTGGAACAGATAAATTCATACTCTTCAGGAATCATTCAGAATACACAGGAGGGCTCTATATTACTCATGGTCACTGGGGTGAAGTTGCAAGTTATTTTACTTAGATGTTTAAGAAAGGTGATTTCTAGAAAGCTAGAAACTTGGGGCACTAGGTTTCCAATGATGATACAACTGCTATTTCTATTAAATGTCTATTCTAGTCCCATTGCAACATGCTTGATATACATAATCTCCTTTATTGCTCCAAACACATCTAAAAGGCAGCATTATCTTTATTACCAGATGAGGAAAATGCTTAGAAATACTTTGATAATTAGATGTTTGTCTTATTTTATGTTCTTGTAATAGAAGTATATTTATTTAACTCTTTTTTACCAGTTAATTCTGGCCTTCCTTGCAGTGGAATTTGAATTGGCATTTTGGTAGGCAGATTATAATACAACTGGTATAAGTTATTGATGGATAGAATTCATTTCCAAGAAGAAAATAGAAATATTTATGCAATTCCAAAATGTTTTTAAAATATTAATTATGCTTAAAATATGTAAGGGAAGAGTTCTTATGGCTTATAGTTAAACTAAACTTTTTTTATAATTGTATTTCTTGTTTTAAATCATGATGCAAAATAACAAAGAGAATATTGTGTTTAATTTTTTAGTATTAAATGACTAAAAGTTACTGGGATTTACTAATAAGATTTATGATTCGCATTCTCTTACCATGTTATAGAATGAGTAGAATGAGTGTTTATTTCCAATATGGTATACTATATGCAGCAAAAAGAGGCTACGTTAGTAATGAATAATAAAGTCAGAGAAAGTCTTCATGATGAGCAATATTTCAGTTGCCAAGTCTGCTGCTTTTCTTAAATCCATTTATTTTTACTATTTTGCTACTGTTTCCCTGTGGAGGGTTTAATACTTCTATTTTCTTCCTTAACCAACTCGATAGTTAAAGATTATATGGAGAAATGTACTTAAGTGTAAATGGAAATGCCTGGCTGTGAAAGTCTATTGGCTTTTCTTAAAATTAGGAGAATATTTATAGTCATAAAAAAAACAGAGATGGTTGATTACAAAGGAGAGTAGACTATGAGCTTAAGTGAGCTACTTGAGAAAACTTTTTGTCACTTTATCACATGCACATGGCACAAAGTTGAGTTGTGATGTGCTATAATTTGAGAAAGGAGTGATTATAGCATCTTTCTCATTCTCCCGCCCCCAGTACCTGATAACTCCCCCCACTGAATCACTTAGGAAGCTCTTGGAATTGTGTGCCTGATGTACGGCAAAACTGTAGCCTCCCAGGTCATTGTGGATTCAAGTAGAAGGGAGAGGTGGTCAAGCTGCCTAAAGACAAAACAGGTCATAGCATAGGCAGAGCTTAAGCTAGAGATCTAGGCAGATAGAGAAGTGGTGGGGGCACTTGTGGATAAGTTGACAGAACTGGAACCAAAATCTTATTCTTAGGTGGGAGGCAAAGTAATTTAAAATGATTTGGCAGATTGCAGCAGGATCCCCAAGAAAAGTCTAGATAGAAACAGTGCACAAAAGTCTGTTTTGCTGAGCATAAGGTAAGAATGGAGCAGGCCTTCAGATGGAGTTTGAGATTGGGGTCTTGGTCCAACAGGACTAATTTCCAATGGGTCTTGTGGCTTTTCCAAGGGCTTACAGCAAAGCTTACCTCCCAGGATATAAAGGGACAAAACCTCTTTGGACTGACAATTTCTAATCTCCAAGGAAGGAGGCTGGATCTCTGCCCTCCAGAGAATGGTCTGGGCATGGTTTTGGGGAGTGTTTGTGAACTAGCTGGGTACAAATTCCTCCTCGGGGTCATTGCCTCCATACTCTATTTTTACAAAATTCTCATTTGCGGGTCCAAACTTCTCTCTCTCTCTTAGGTCCTGACAGCTAGAATCTTGACGGTATATTTTTTAAAGATGCTACATTTCTTAAGCCTAGCAACATCTTAGTTGTATAAAAAAATGTACAGGCTGGGCACGGTGGCTCACACTTCTAATCCCCGCACTTTGGGAGGCAGAGGCAGGCAGATCACCTGAGGTCAGGAGTTCGAGACCAGCCTGACCAATATGATGAAACCCCGTCTCTACTAAAAATACAAAAATTAGCTGGATGTGGTGGCAGGCACCTGTAATCCCAGCTACTCGAGGGGCTGAGACAGGAGAATCACTTGAACCCGGGAGGCAGAGGTTGCCGTGAGCCGAGATTGCGCCATTGCACTCCAGCTAGGGCAACAAAAGCAAAACTCCATCACAAAAAAAAAAAAAAAAAAAAAGAAAAGTACAGTACTGGCAATATCTCTGGTCATTGTCTCTGCCATCTCTTTTATCTCTAATTCAAGGCCTTATACAAATGTCAACAAATATTTATTGAATGTGTTTTAGATAAACTTATGGGTATTCAGCACTATGAGAGATACAAAAGGCACATGTCGGTCTTGGAGAAAGAAAATATACCCACAAATATTTAAATAACAATTCACAGCAGTATGTAATTACATGCCAAAGTAATGTGACAGACAATTAGTATTGCGTGGTTTGGAGTGATCCCAAAAATTTCATGTGAAGACAGAAGAATCTCTAGGGCTTAAAGAATAAATGTTAGAATTTGTATGGGAAAGAAGGGTAGTAGAATCTACTTATTTATTTGACAAACATATATGATGCTTACTATGTACAAGGTGCTCTTTTGACTACATCACAAGTAGTAACTCATTTAAGGCTCACAACAACCCGATGAGGAAGACCAAATCATTAGAAAACTGAGGCACAAGTAGGTGAAAGAACTTATGCAAGATCATATAACTAAGTAGTGGAGCTGGAAGCTGGACTCAGATTGTCTGACTCTAGAATTGTCCTGCTCAATCTGGAAGTCACTGGTGTCTATTTAAATTTAAATGTACTGAAATTAAATAGAATTAAAATTCAGTTCCTTGGTTGTACTAACCACATTTCAAATGCTCAAGAGCCATATTTGGCTAGTGGCTACCATAGTGGACAGCATAAATATAGAACATTTCCATCATCACAGACATTTCTGGTGGACAGCACTGGTCTACTACCCATGCATTTAACCATTCCTCTATGTCATCTCTTTCTGAGGTAATGGTATGAGCAAGCATGTGGAGGGTGACTGCATATTTATGTGTCCTTGTATAGATAAATATCTTGGGCTACAAGAAAGAGCAGAAGAAGATGATTTTGTGAAAACAAGAAATGGAGGCTGGTCTTGAATGCCAGGCAAGAAACTTGATATAATCCTTGTGTTAGTTTTATATCATTGTCTGACAAATTAGCACATAATTAACAGCTTAAAACAGCACACACTTGTCTCACAGTTTACGTGGGTCAGGAGTCCAGGCACACTTAGCTGGATTCTCTGCTCAGGGTCTGAACAAGCTGCAACCAAGATGTCTGGCAGGGCTGTGGTCTCATCTGAAGTTTGGATTTTTCTCCCAAGCTCGTTGGTAATTGGCAGAATTCAGTGTCTTGGGTCTGTAGAACAAGGCTTTCAGCATTTAGTCTTTTTGCCATTCCCTGTCGCATGTTGCACTATACAACATGACGGTCAAAGGAAAGTATCTTCTGCTGCTTCTCCTGTCTCTGAGCTCTGGGCTCAGTTTTGAAGGGCTCACCAAGGAAAATCTCCCTTTTGATTAACTTAAAGTCAATTTAATAGAGACCTCAGTTCATTATATCTACAAAATCCCTTTACCTTTCCTTGTTTCCTAGCATACTCACATACTCATGTGAGTGAAATCCTATCGTATTCAAGTATTGCCCATATTCAAGGGGAAAGGATTCTATAGAGTTCATACAACAATGGGGTCTTTTAGAATTCTTGCCACAATTTCATAGGTTTTAAGAAGTAAATGGGTTTTTTGAGTATGGATGTTATAAGGTGGAGCTGTTATGCTATCAATAGGCTGTTTATTTCCTCTTATTTGACCTTCAATTAACATATTATGTCAATTTATAACCTTACTCTTTTGGTCAAACAATCTTGTCTATGAATACCTAATCCTAGAAGGAATATTTACATGCCTTTTCCACCTAGTTACGCTTAAAAATCAAAATAATAACATTTTGACTTTTTTAAATTACAAAAGTGACATGCTTATTGTAAAGACAGTAAAATGACACAGAAGCATATTAACTATACAGTAAAGTATAAAATTTACCTACCCCCATGAATCTCTCCTTTCTCACTCTCCAGAGATATACTCTTTCAAAATGTTCATGAAGCACGTACAAGCATGCATGCTTCATGTGTTTTATTTTTATGCTTATTTTCTGCAGTGTAGCATGGATACACACATATATACTTATAGAGAAATAGAGACAGACATAAAATTATGAATGTAAAGATTGAAAGAGATAGTTCTAAAGGAAAAGCTATTATAAAGAATAAATGTTCAGATATAACTCCTTATCTTATCCCTATACTAAATTGTTGTTTGGTCTAACCCTGATTTTAGCCTCCTTAAAACTCAGGAGAACCCATCTCTAAACTCACCTGAATCTTTAATCTGTGTTTTATGTCAAGAGCTATTTTCAGACCATAATCACAGCTCCGGTGCTTTAAAGCGTCAAGGCAATTCGATATCAAAAGGATTTGACTTTGTTCTTTCTAGGTAGACAGACAAAAATACCTACTTGAAATAATCAAATGGCAGCAGAGTTAGCTCTCTAATCCCCACTTTCTCTCTGGATTAGGGAGGGTGAAGAAAAAAATGTTCAAGGAGACGAAAAATATCACATCTCTCTGAAGTCATATACTCATGGCTTTTTGATACCCTTGGCTTGTTGCAGAAACTCAGTCGTGTCACTGGTTCTAGCACCAACCCTGTTCCTTAGGCAGTCAGGATTTAACAAGCTGAGGCAGATGTTTTACTGTAAATCATCTTTTCTGCCTATACTAATATGATGACTGAGTTCTAACAATTGCCTTCTTGTCTTGTTCCTTATCGTTAAGGTAGAGTGTGGGAACATTTTGTGAAGGAAAAGGGATGCTATTGATAACTAAGTTGAGACCACAAGTTTAAAGCTGAAATGTCACACGCAAACTTGGCATATAATTACTCTATTTATGATCAATTAGCATCAATGAACGATAACAATCGTACTGCACTTTAATTGAGGACTTTCCTGGTAGTGTAATAAACACTTTCTCTTACTGTGTCTCAATCCTCACATCCGACTACCCTATGGGATAGATGCTAGTATCCTTTTCATTTTACAGATTAGGACCCCAAAGCGTAGGATGGTGAAGCCATCTAAGTTCCCATGGCTGAGTTCCCACATGTAGAGAAAAATTGCAGGGATTTGGAGAGGCCGAATGGTTGTATCAGTTAGCTTGTAAAGAAGGGTAGGGGGCTGAAATGAGAAAATGAGTGATGATATCGATGCATTCCAGAGCTAGTATGGCAACAACTTCAGCTGGGACATTTTTTGAGGGGAGAGTTTCTTTAGGAGGCCAGGAAGATATAGGTTAATGGATTATTTTTGTTGCCAGTGCTGAGTGATTCTTCTTTGAATGACAGTCCATTATTGTGGAGATGAGACCTACCCATCACTTCAGGCTCCCTTCAGACACCCCAGAATCTCATCTGTAGCATGTGAGGCCAGCAGTACAGTGCAATGACAGATAACCCAACCACATCAGCAGTTCTCCAATGCCATTCTTTTCTACCTACAGAACTTGTTAGGACCAAGCCAGGCTAGGTAATTTATGTCTGTTTATGTGGTCAGAATTCCAGTAGCTCTTACCCTCTGCATCCCTCATTTTAGCTCTAAACATGTCATCTTTTATTACCCCCTAGGTATTTCTTGTGTTAGTCTTATCTCTTAGAACAGATAGTAAGCAGCTTGTGGGCAGGGATCATACCATTTTGGCATCTCTCCAAGTGACTGCTACAGTGCCAAGCACAGATACTCAACAAGACTTGTTTTCCCTCTTTTGTACTAGTTTTCAAATGCTGCTGTAATCAATTACTACCAACTGGGCGGCTTAAAACAACACACATTTATGATCTCACAGGAAGTCAGAGGTCTGAAATGGGTCTCACTGGGATAATATCAAGGTATTGGCAGGACTGCCACCTTTTGGAGGTGCCAGGACAGAATCCATTCCTTGCCTTTTCCAATGTCTAGAGACCACCTGCATTCCTTGGCCCGTGATGCCTTTCTAAATCTTTTAAGCCAATAATGGCTGGTCCAATTATTCTCACACTGAACTATTATAACCCTGCTTCTGGCATCCCATCTTTTTCCCTGATTCTAACTCTTCTTCCTCCCTGTTTTGTTTGTTAGGATCTTTGAGATTACATCAGACCCACCCAGAAAATCCAGGATAGTCTCCCCTTCTCACAATCCGGTGGTTAGCAGTCCAAATTCTACCTACAACCTTAATTCCCCTTTGACACATAATGAAACATATTCGTAGGCTCTGGGGATTAGGATGTGGATATTTTTGTGGGGAGCCTGTATTCTGCCCCATAGCTTTTAATTTTTTTTCAAAAAATGTTCAAATATACACAAATGTAAAGAGAGGGAGTAAATACATCCTCTTTACTCTTCTCACAGCTTTGGACTTAGTTGACTTTTAAGGATTATTCTGTGAGTGGTTTGAATATTATTTCATATGATGAATACTGCTCAGACTTCTTTCTTTCTTATTGATTTTGTAGACACAGGGTCTCAGTATGTTTCCCAGGCTGATCTAAAACTCCTGGCTTCAAGTGATCCTCCTGCCTTGGCCTCACAGAGTGCTAGGATTACAGACATCACCCACTGCACTCAGCCCAACTGTATTTCTAAAGTATTTCCATTTCTTGTTATATAAAATTGAGATTATAAAGTGTTGTTTCAGAGTTATTTTGTAGATTTTATTGAATATTAATAATGGTTATAAATGTTAAATGGATATTTATAAATACCTTTAAGGCAGAATATGGTATTTTACACTTAATTTTTTGTATGTATATACAAAACCCAATGCTTGGGTTGTAGTTTATATTTCAAGACAATCTATTAGCTTGGTATAAAAGCAAGAGTGGTTTTTGCAATTACTTCTGAACCCAATCTAAGAAAACCGAAATTACTTGTGCACCCAACCAAATACATTGTTAATACATTATTGAACCTAACAACACATAGTATTTTTTTTCTTTTGACAGAGTCTCACTCTGTCACCCAGGCTGGAGTGCAGTGGCATGATCTCGGCTCACTGCAACCTCTGCTTCCTGGGTTCAAGCGATTCTCCTGCCTCAGCCTACGAGTAGCTGGGATTACAGGCGCGTGGCACCACGCCCTGCTAATTTTTGTATTTTTAGCAGAGACGGGGTTTCACCATATTGGTCAGGCTGGTCTCCAACTCCTGACCTCAAGTGATCCACCCGCCTCAGCCTCCCAAAGTGCTGGGATTCCAGGCGTGAGCCACCGTGCCCAGCCAACAACACATAGTTTTAAAGTAGTAATTGCTTCAATTGTATGCATTTCCATAAGAATTTATAAGATTTAAAAGGTAAAAAGCATTTTTAAAATGACTCGTTAGCTCCGCTGTAAAGTATTCAGATGCTGTTTTGCATTGGTGCTGTCATTCTTCCTTATCTATTCCTAGAGCCATGTATTACAAACCGCAATTCTAGCCAAGAGACATGCTCTGACTGGTGTTCAGCCTTTGCTGTCAATATTTATGACAGTAGATCTGACTTTGTGTGTTTTATATACACGTGTGTTTGTATTAGTCAGGCTAATGCTCATTTTTGGCAGTAGCATACCACCTGAAATTTGCAGTACTGTAACTTAATATGGATTTGTTTCTCGTTTGCAACAAATGTGATGTAGGTGTTTGCAGTTGAGACTTTCTCCTGTGTAGCTCTACTCTCAGCAATAACCTCGGGGATTTGTCTTCTCACATCTTATATTGCTTCACATCCACCCCTGCATATGGGGAAAGAGAGGGAGAGTGGAAGATTGCATGGAACAGTTCAGGGATCAGGCCGGGAAGTGGCATGTATCACCTACACCAGACTCCGTCCCCCAGAACTGGGTCATATGGCTCCACCTATGTGTAAGGGTAGACTGGAAAATGTAGTCTTTCTGTGTATCCTGGAGAAAAATGAAAATATATGGTAAATGCATAGTATTTTTTCTGCAACATTTTGTGAAGAGGATTTTCAGATCTTAGATCTGGGAAAGAACTTTTGATATAGCATCTTATTTTATGGAGGGGAAATTGCGATACAGTTGAGGGGGAAGCCTTGCCTTAAACAAGAAAGTGCCAGGCCAATATCCTACCATCTAGTATCTAGATAGCAGCTGGAGTTAATTCACACCCTTTCTAGCATCATCTGGTCTAATCTTCTGCCTAGTGGAAAATGGAACTTCCTCAAAAGCACCCCTGACATCCCTATAAAGAAAAGTTGATTCTTTTCGAGTTAAAGAATGAAGGCAGGTACACATTTGCAAATACTGAAATAAGTGTGGATATGTCATTTGCTAATATTTTAACATAAATTTTAACTTTTAAGTCATGAACTAGTGTGGCATCGTGTTATTTTATGCTGCCGAAAGTTTTTTTTTTGCTTATTAATGAGTCTTGTTAACATTAAGTAGGATTTAAATATGCATGAGATATAAAACTAGAATACTTAATATTCATACTTGTTATACTTTCACATCTTGACTGAGAGGTCAGGGAGGAAATGGCATTTGTGTTCTGCATAACCACTATTTCCTTTTTTAAAAAAACTTTTATTTTAGGTTCAGGGGCACACGTGCAGGTTTGTTATGTAGAAAAACCCCCTGTCACAGAGGTTCGTTGTACGATTATTTCATCACCCAGGTACTAAGCCTAATATCCAATATTTATTTTTTCTGCTCCTCTCCCTCCACTCCCCCACCCTCAAGTAGACCCAGTGTCTTTTGTTCCCTTCTTTGTGTCCATTTGTTCTCATCATTTAGCTCCCACTAATAAGTGAGAGGACGTGGTATGTGGTTTTCTGTTCCTATATTAGTTTGCTAAGGGTAATGGCCTCCAGCTCCATCCATATTCCTGCAAATGACATGATCTCATTCTTCTTTGTGGCTGCATAGTATTTCATGGTGTATATGTACCACATTTTCTTTATCCAATCTGTCACTCATGGGCATTTAGGTTGACTTCACGTCTTTGCTATTGTGAATGGTACTGCAGCAAACATATGTGGGCATGTGTCTTTATGGTAGAATGATTTATATTACTTTGGGTATTTAATCAGCAATGGGATTGCTGGGTCAAATGGTAGTTCTGTTTCAAGTTCTTTAAGGAAGAGCCACTGCTTTCCAGAATGGGTGAACTAATTTACACTCACAGCAACAGTGTATAAGCATTCCCTTTCTCCACAACCTCGCCAGCATCTATTAGTTTTTGACTTTTTAATAATAACCATCCTGACTGGTGTGAGATTGTATCTCATTGTGGTTTTGATTTGCATTTCTCTCATGATCAGTGATATTGAGGTTTTTTCATATGCTTGTTGGCTGCATGTGTGTCTTCTTTTGAAAAGGATCTGTTCATATATTTTGCCCACTTTTTAATGGAGCGGGTTTTTTTTCTTGTAAATTTGTTTAAGTTTCTTATAGGTGCTGGATAGTATTAGACTTTTGTAAGACGCATAGTTTGCAAAAATGTTTGCCCATTCTGTAGGTTGTCTCTTTACTCTGTTGATAGTTACTTTTGCTATGCATAAGCTCTTTAGTTAATTAGATCTCATTTGTCACTTTTTGCTTTTGCACTATTTCTAAATATTTCCATTAGTATTCGTATTAGCAATAAGTGAATGAAAATAAAAATCATCTGTAAATTCAAATGCTTCTGTAATAAATTTGAGATTTTCATTTTCTGGAGCATATTATTAAATAATTTCAGGTCTTGTAATCTTATTATTACCATGTAGTCAATACATAATATACATACATTACACACGTAGAAATATTTGGTTCAGGGGGCTGGAGCGGGATAGCAAATGGAGAATTATAAAAAAAAAATACAAGTTCTGTGAGATTATTATGTTATTCTCTTGTTCTACTGTGGGGCATCAGAACTCTGCATGGCTACAGTGGGATGAATACTCTTTCTCCATACCTACATCCGTCAGCTCTGAACCAGATCTGCATGTTTCACTTGAAAAAATTTTGGAGTGCTTGACTTTCTCAGTTCTTATCAAAACTCTTCCTGTGTCTGTGCACATCCATAAGCAGTGACCCACTGTAGGCTAATGTTTGTTTTAGCTATATTGATAAAAGTGAAGTGTACACATCTTATACCGTGTCTAGGGTGTCATGGCCACTGAAGGATGCCACACCCTAACAATTACAACAGCAACATCAACAATAGCAATCCCTAGCAATTGTTAGATTGTTATGTGTCAGTCAGTTATTGACTGTTCTATGTGGTTTACATATATTAGCTTACTTGATCCTCAAAACAAGAGTACGTATCTCTCATATGTTCCTTTTCTTCCCAGAAGTCTTCAGCAGACTTGTAAAATCTCCCTGGCCAGAATTACATCACTTGCCCATGCCTAAACCAGTCATTTTCCAAGAGGGATGAAACCAGCCATTCTTGGTTTAGAGGCCAATCAAAACTCATCACACAAGCCTGGGGAAGGACATTGCAAATCAAAAGAGGTTGAACAAAAGCTTGTTTGTGCTAGCAAGGAAGGAGGGAGAGGTATAGCTATAGGGTAGAAATCCAACAGTGTTTACAACAGTAGCCAGGGAGAAAGGCAATTTCAAGACATTCTTCAAACACTAAGTATTGAAGTAAAAATAAAATTCAATAAATATTTGTAGCACCTAAAAATAATGATCATTAAGTAAAATGCTGCAAAATTTGGGGGCACCTATAATTAATTTCTTCTTAATGGTTTGCAGTATCACTCCAGGCAAGTTAACTTGAACATTTAGCATTTTTTTTCTGAATATGACTACCCAATGATAACATGTTTAAATTCAAGAAACCAGAACTGTGATTCTGTACTCTGGCTTAGTCTATCCAAGATGTTCACAGTTTGATCTAGTTTACTTCTCCCCATCACCAGGGTCCAACAGGGCAAGGAGAAACATTTCAGTAACCACTGATAGCATTTAGAAAGCCCTTCAACTCCTATATCAGAAGGCCAAAGAGCCAGTTACCCACAGACATTATACGGACAGCAATGTCTCTATATCCCTTCTTTTGCCCGGGTTTTGGGTACAATCTTCTTTCTTTATTTCTGTTTATAGTCAAACCGAATTGACATTACAGCAATTGCTTCCCAATCTTCCCAGGTATCTGAGATCACCACCAGTTTGCACAGCTGTGGCGGTACCTGTGAAATTCAGCCATCTTGTAGGCATCTCTTTCTTTCAGACAGGCAGACAGAGAGACAGACAGATGGATAGGTTTTCCTATCAATGCTATTTATTGTAGTTGAAATCATATGCTATTATAATTGTTTCCTGTTTTTTCACCTAGAATTATTCTCAACTTATAACTGTCAAGTTCTCCATCAATCTTTTTGGACTTTTTTTCTGATATGTGAGTCTTGACCTGGGCCCATTGCTGCCTGGGGCTATATTCACTTAATTTCCCTTGCCTACCAATATTACCAAATTTATCTTCCCCTCTGTGTCCATCTCTGTTGGTCATAGGTGATTAATAAAGCACCATAATGTGTTTCTGTCCTGACAAAATGCACTTTGCTCCAAATAGCGCAAATTCTTCTATTTTGCTTCTTGTGGAAGTGATACACTTATTATACCAATGTTCAGGCATTCTACTCTGGAATCACCTTCCCAACTATTTTTCCATGAACAGATATAATTAATTTTATTCTTTTCTTGCCAGACCTTGCTTTTGACCAAAACAAAGTTGATCATTTACTTTTTTCATCAGTCTTAACTCCTAATGTCATTTGGATTTTTTGAAAATTTATCTTAAACAGATGAAGATCAGCCAATGAATATTGAATATACTTTTTAATAAGGCATGATGTAGGCATTTTAAAATGACTATTATGTTAAGAGTGTGCTAGGGACTGAAATTTATGTATTGTGAGAGGTCCATTTCAGATCCAGCCCCCATTCCATAAAGCATTCCCTAATCATTGCTAGAAGTTATTTTTCCCTTCTTACCCTTGTGGATTGCTCATAAGGTACTTAATTATTTGTGTGCAAATATTAAAAAAGCAGGGCTGGCCTTTGCCAGCTAACCTATTCATTCAGCTTGTGTGCTATTCAGCTTTCCACCTTTATGCTAAGCTGCAGCTGCAAAGGCAGAACTCACAGGAAATACACAACCTGAGCACTCCAGAAGCTATTTTATACAAGTGGATTTTATAAATAACTGCAAGACCTTCTTATCTGTCAAATCTCAACACCCAAGCTTCCCTGTATTCCCTGGAGAAGGGTGTGCTCCCTAGAAGACTGCCGAGAGAGGAGAGAAGAAAGCATTCACGTTTACTTATTTGAGTCTTTAACCCAGACTTGCCAATGTTTGCAAGTGTCCTGACAGGTAACTCATGACTACTGAACAGCTTATCTTAAAGAAATAAATTAGAATTGAGATTTCCCGTGTTGTGCTTTATCTGCATTTCCAGAAATAAAGTGTGCTTTCAGGAGAAATAAAGGTCAATGGACCACATTCATTATCAGGAAAAGAAGATTATAAGAAGAATTCTTGGCCGGGTGCAGTGGCTCATGGCTGTAATCCCAGCACTTTGGGAGGCCAAGGCAGCTGGATCACCTGAGGTCGGAAGTTTGAGACCAGCCTGACCAGCATGGTGGAACCCTGTCCCTACTAAAAATACAAAATTAGCCAGGTGTGGTGGCGCATGCCTGTAATCCCAGCCACTCAGGAGGCTGAGGCAGGAGAATTGCTTGAACTGGAGAGGCGGAGGTTGCGGTGAGCCGAGATCGTGCCATTGCACTCCAGCCTGGGCAGCAAGAGTGAAACTCTGTCTCCAATAATAATAATAATAATAATAATAATAACAACAAAGGAATTCTTGAACACAGTGCCATTCAAACAAAGTTTTGAACAAGAATGATATTTTTCCTTCGTTTAATCACATATTTAAAGTGCACATGAGTTTTTTGATGGCAAAGGTGGAGGAGGAGAAGAGGGATTCCTAATCTAAAGATGAATAGTAGTCAACTTGTACCCACTTGGTCCTGACCTATATGTTCTACGTGTTTATCATGGATGTGGATGTGTACTGTGTGATAATGTATGACAGGCTCTTCAGAATAAATCCTATCCTGGCCATTTCTCAGATGCATCTTAGCTAGTTAAATAGCCCATAGTCCCTGCTTTCCAGAGTAAATTTCTTCTGCATCTCAGTTCTACCAGTGCTTTTTAAACCACTCATCTCCTTTACTTGTTTTTCAAGTACTCCACTGACAGAGTGCTTAGAAGTGCCAAAAGAAGTATTTCACTCTGGATGGAGCTTGTATTGTTTTTTGTTTGTGTGTTTTGTTTTCTCTCTTCATTTATTTTGTCCCTCGATGATTCATAAGAAGATTCACATTACCTCACAATTTACTTTCTCAGGAATTAATATCTACACCAAGAGCCCTCTCCAGGCAAACCGATTTCCTCATTTGGAGGGGAGTTCTCAGGACTCTAAGAGCCCGAGTCCTAGTCACCAGCACAGAATGCTGAAGGAGATGAGAGAAAGTGACAGACGCCCTCAGCTATTCAAAATTCACTCTATTCCGTGGTGATCATCATTGTTGCTCCATAGTTCAGTCCTTCGCTTGAGCTATTTCCTTGGAGCTTCTTTAGGGCCCCAAGAAGGATCTTTTTTCCCCTTGGCTGTTGGGGCTAGGGTTTTCAATCTTCTTTCCTCAATCAATTCCATCTCATCTGCTTGGTACCATTCAAAATTTCTTTGAAATCTCTAGTATACTACCTGTTGCCTTTCTGATTTCTCTGGCACTGCAAGAGCTTCCTCCCCGCCCCCCAACTGTAAATGTTTTTGGTAATTTCAAGGGGAACTTGGCAAGGAAGAGAAACAGATCTGTGTGCCTAATTCACCTTTTAAAATTTGAAGCCTAGATTTCTCTTTATCTCTTTTTAAAATAATCTATTAATGGGAATGTACTTCATACCTTATTTATTAGACAGAAAGAAGTCACCCTTGTTAACTATTCTAGTCTAAAGAGCTTCCTAAGCACTTGACACAAATTATCACCTCACCTATCTGATTACATAATCAGCATCTGAGCTAATAGCCTTTCAATCAGCCTCTCTTGCAGCTCAATGGTTGCTCCGTTAGACTTCTTCCTTGCTCATACCAAATACTGAGTCCATAGCTTTTTGGATGGACCATAGGACGATTTATTCCCCATCCTTTTTGGTGATGTCCTTTCTAAATATAGTAACTATGGAGATAAGCTATGGTGTTTACGACGAGCACATGAATGCCATAACATCGTCAATTTTCCTACCGTTGCTTCATTATATTTGTCTGCTGAACACAGAGGTTTGAAACATCCCTAGTTAATAAAGTCATTTGAGAGACTTTAAAGGCAAATTGAGCTGAAATATCTCATTAAAAAGCATTCTTTGGCTGGGCTCAGTGGCTCACACCTGTAATCCCAGCACTTTGGGAGCCTGAGGCGGGAGGATCACCTGAGGTCAGGAGTTTGAGGCCAGCCTGGCCAACATGGCGAAACACTGTCTCTACTAAAAATACAAGTGTGGTGGCACGCACCTGTAGTCCCAGCTACTCGAGAGGCTGAGGCAGGAGAATTGCTTGAACCTGGGAGGCGGAGGTTGCAGTGAGCCAAGATCGTGCCACTGCACTCCAACCTGGGAGACAGAGTGAGACTCCATCTCAAAAAAAAAAAAAAAAAAAAAAAAAAACACTCTTTTTTCTTATAAATAGTGGTTCTTTTTTGATATGCATATAAAGCCAGTCTGATTTTATCCCCACTCCTCCTACTGCCAACAAAGGCTCTTTCTACAACATTCTGTAAAGTAATTTTCTTTCTATTTCCCCATACTACTTGGAGTGATGTAAGCTATAGGTACCCATGGAATTTTTCAGTTCCACAATGTGAGTCTACTGAATGTAAACAATAAATGGTAAAATATCAACAATTAATTAAAATGGATCAACAGGATATTCTCATTGATATTCTCATCTCTTACTTGGTGTAAACTACTTTAGTACTTGCATAAGAAAGCTGCACTTAAACAGAAACAAATTGTTTACTGCACAGAAATACTTCTTCTTTTTTTCTCAGCTTTCTCAGCTTTATTGTGCTTGGAAAAATTATAAATACAAATTATATAAATTTACAGTGTTCATTGTGTCTGGCTTATTTCATTTAGCATAATATCCTCCAAATTCATTCATGTTGTCCCAAATGACATTATTTCCTTTTGAATGCTGAAATACACACACACACATACACATAAAAACATACATATACACACATACATATCTCTTACATTTTTTATCCATTCATCTTTTGATGGACTTTAGGTTGATTGCACATCTTGCCTATTATAAAAGCTGCTACAATAAACAGGAGAGTGCAGATATCTCTGACATACTGATTACATATCCTTTGAATATATACACAGTAGTGGGATTGCTGGATTATATGGTAGTTCTGTTCCTAACTTTTCTGGAAGCTTCATAGATTTCCATAATGACTATACCAATTGACATTCCTACTAACAGAGTACAGGGATTTCCCGTTATTCATACACTCACCAAAAATTATCTTTTTAGTTTTTGATAACACCATTCTAACAGGTGTGAGTTGATAGCTCATTGTTTTTTGGATTTGCATTTCCCTAATGATTAGTGATGTTGCACACCTTCTCATATATAGGTTGGTCATTAATATATCTTCTTTTGAGAAATGACTACTCATGTCCTTGCTCATTTTTGAGTTCAGTTATTTGTTTGCTTGTTATTGAGTTGATTTAGTTCCTTACATAGGTTGGATATTAACCCTTTATGTGTTGTGTAGTTGTAATTCTCCCATTCCACAGGTTGTCTCTTCTTTGCATTGATTCTTTCCTTTGCTGTGCAGAAGTTTTTTAGTTGGATGTAATTTCATTTGTCTATTTTTGCTTTTTTAACCTGTGCTTTGAGGGTCATATATATATATAATATATAAATATCGCTCAGACCAATGTCAAGAAGTTTATCCTCTATCTTTTCTTCTAGGAGTTTTACAGTTTCAAATCTTATATGTAAATCTCCAATGCACTTTGAGTTAATGTTTGCATGTAGTGGGAGATAAGGGTCCTACTTTATTTTTCTGTATGTGGATATCCAGTTTTCCCAGCACAATTTATTGAAGAGTGTATCCTTTACCAGTTATGTGTTCTTGGCACCTTAGTTGAAGATCAGTTGACTGTAAGTATGTGGATTTCGTTCTGGCCTCTTTATTCTGTTTAATTGATCTATGTGTCTGCTTTCATGCCAGTATCAGCCTGTTTTGATTACTATAGCTTTGTAATATAGTTTGAAATCATTAGGAGTGATGCTTCCAAGTTTATCCTTACTTGAGATTGCTTTGGCTATTCAGAGTATTTTGTGGCTTCATATGAATTTTAGGGTTTATTTTCTATTTCTGTGAAAAATGACACGGGAATTTTCTTAGAGATTGCACTGAATATGTAGATCCCTTTGGTTAGTGTAGATACATTAATTTTTAATTCTTCCAATGTATAAACATGGGATATCTTTCCATTTATTTGTGCCTTTGTCAATTCCTTTCATCAGTGTTTTATAGTTTTCAATGTATAGGTCCTTTACCTCCTTTGTTAAATTTATTCCAAAGTATTTTATTGTTTTAATAGTATTGTAAATGGGTTTTTATTCTCAATTTCTTTTCCAGAGATTATAAATATGCTACTGATTTGTGTGTATTGTATATTAATTTTGTATCCTGAAACATTACTGAATTTGCTTATTAGTTTTAAACGTTTTTGGTGGAGTCTTCAGGATTTCTGCACGTATGATCGTGCCATTTGCAAACAGAGATAATTTTACTTTTTCATTTCCAAATTGGATGCCTTTTATATTTTTCTCTTGCATAATTGTTCTGGCTAAGACTTCCACTACTATGTTGAGCAGCGACGGTGAGAGTGTGCATCCTTGTCTTGTTCCTGATCTTAGAGGAAAAACTTTTGGCTTTGCATCATTGAGTATGACGTTAGCTGTAAATTTGTCATATATGGTTTTTTATTATGTTGAGATAAATTTCTTGAATACCAAATTAGTTGAGTTTTCATCATCAAAGTTTGTTGAGTTATTTCAAATGCCTTATTTGCATCTATTGAGGGGGCCATATGATTTTTATCTTTTATTCTGTAAATGTGGTATATTACATTTATTGATTTGTCAAACCTCTTTGCATCCCAGGGATAAATGCCAATTGATTACTGTATGTGATCATTTTAGTATGCAGTTAAAATCAGTTTGCTAGCATTTGTTGAGGATTTTTATAGATATATTTGTTAAAGATACTGGCCTGTAATTTTCTTTTCTCGTAGTGTTCTTGTCTGGCTCTGGTATTAGGGTAACATAAGCCTTATAAAACAAGTTTGGAAGTTTTTTCTTCTTTTTTTAATACTTTAAGTTCTGGGGTACATGTGCAGAACATGCAATTTTGGTACATAGGTATACATGTGCCGTCTTGGTTTGCTGCACCCATCAACTCATCACCTACATTAGGTATTTCTCCTAATGCCATCCCTCCCATAGCTCCCCACCCACTGACAGGCCCCCGTGTGTGTGTGTGATGTTCCCCTCCCTGTGTCCATGTGTTCTCATTGTTCAACTCTCACTTATGAGTGAGAACATATGGTGTTTGGTTTTCTGTTCTTGTGTTAGTTTGCTGAGAATGATGGTTTCCAGCTTCATCCATGTCCCTGCAAAGAACATGAACTCATCCTTTTTTATGGCTGCATAGTAGAATTTTGGAAGTGTTTGAGATGGATTGGCATTAATTCTTCTTTAAGTGTTTGGTAAATTTCACCTGTGAAGCCATCAGGTCCTGAGCATCTCTCATTGGGAGGTGTTTGATTACTGAATCAATCTCCTTAGTCATTATTGGTGCATTCATATTTCTATTTATTCATGAATTAGTCATGGTAGATTGTATTTATCTAGGAATTTATCCATTTCTTCTAAGTTATCCAATTTGTTGGCATACAACTGTTCATTTTAATCTCCATAATCATTTTCCCCCCTGTGGTATTAGTTGTAGTGCCCCCCTTTTATTTATAATTTTATTTATTTGAGTCCTCTTTCTCTCTCTCTCTCTCTCTCTCGTTTAGTCCAGCTAAAGGTTTGTCAGTTTTGTTTATCTTTAAAAAAAAAAGACTGTTTTATTGATCTTTTCTGTAGTTTTTCTGCTATTTTATTTATTTCTGATCTAATCTTCATTATTTCATTACTTCTGCTCATTTCGGACTTAGTTTCTTCTATTTTTGTTTCTTGTGGTGTAACATTAGGTTGTTGATTTGAGATTTTTTTTTAATTTAGCGCTATAAACTTCTGTCTTATAACTGCTTTTGCTGAATTCCATAAGTTTTGTTGTTTTTTCATTTTCATTTTTCTCAGTGTATATATACATATATATATGTATATATACACACATACACACACACACACACATATATATATATTTACTTTAAGTTCTGGGATACATGTGCAGAAAGTGCAGGTTTGTTACATAGGTATACATGTGCCATGATGGTTTGCTGCACCTATCAACCTGTCATCTAGGTATTTTTTATATCCTTTTTGATTTTTTCATTCACCTCCTAGTTGTCCAGGAATGTGTTCTTTAATTTACACATATTTGTAATTTTTCAAAGTTTCCTTCTGTTATTGATATCTAGTTTCATACTATTGTGATTAGGAAAGATACTTGATATAATTCTAATCTTCTTAAATTTGTTAAGACTTGTTTTTCCCAATATATGATCTGTCTCAGTGAATGTTCCATGTACACTTGAATGTGTATTCTTCTGCTGTTGGATAAATTGTTATGTATATGTCTGTGGGATCTATGTAGTTTATATTGTTGTTCAACTCCACTTCTTACTGATTTTCTCTCTGAATGATCTATCCAGTGTTGAAAGTGGGTTATTGGTGTTCCTTACTGTTATTGTTTTTCTATTTCTGACACTAGTTCTGTTAACATTTGCTTTATATATTTAGATACTCAAATGTTGGATGAATATGTATTTATAATTGTTATATCTCCTTGAAAAATTGACCCCTATACTATTGTATAATGACCTTCTTTGTCCCTTTTAACAGTTTTTGACTTGAATTCTATTTTATCTAATGTGTGTTTAGCTACCTCTGCTCATTTTTGGTTTCCATTTGCATGGAATATCTTTTACTATCAGCTCACCTTCAGGCTGTGTATTTCTTGAAAGTTAAAGTCCGTCTCTTGTATACAGTATATTGTTGGATTTTTTAAAATTGATTCAGCCACGCTACAGGTTTTTATTGGAGAATTTGATTCATTTAAATTTAAATTAATTATTAAGTAAGGATTTACTATTGTATTTTCTTTATTGTTTTTTAACTGTTTCATATTTTCTTTTCTCTTTCTTTTTCTCTTGTCATCTTTTTTGTGATTTGATACCTTTTTTTGTAGTGGAGCACTTTGATTACTTTTCCGTTTTCTTTTGTATGTCTGCTATAGGTTTTTTGTTTGGCCTTATCATGAAGAAGACTTAAAATATCTTAAAGTGATAACTTCCTATTATAAGCTGATAAGAAAATTGTATACAAAAGCTCCAGATTTTATTCCCCCATTCCACAATTTATGTTATATATGTCATAATTTACATATTTTTCTTTGTGTATTATTTAAGGTATTATGTAGCTATAGCTATTTTTAATATTTTTCTTTTAACCTTTATACTTGAGTTAGAAGTGATTTATGTACCTCCATTACAGTATGAGAGTATTCTATATTTGACTATATACATACCTTTACCAGTGAGCTTTTTTTTTTTTTTTTTTTTTTTTTGAGACGGAGTCTCGCTCTGTCGCCCAGGCCGGACTGCGGACTGCAGTGGCTCAATCTTGGCTCACTGCAAGCTCCGCTTCCCGGGTTCACGCCATTCTCCTGCCTCAGCCTCCCGAGTAGCTGGGACTACAGGCGCCTGCCACCGCGCCCGGCTAATTTTTTTGTATTTTTAGTAGAGACGGGGTTTCACCTTGTTAGCCAGGATGGTCTCGATCTCCTGATCTCATGATCCACCCGCCTCGGCCTCCCAAAGTGCTGGGATTACAGGCGTGAGCCACCGCGCCCGGCCACCAGTGAGCTTTAATTAGGTCTAATGGTGATGAATACTCTCAGCTTTTATCTGGGAAAGTCACTGTCTCTCCTTCTTTGGGGAAGGAAGCTTTGCTGGATATAATATTCCTGACTTGCAGGAGATTTTTCATTCAGCATTTTGGATATATTATTTCACTCTGTCCTGGCCTGCAAGGTTTCTCCTGATAAATTTGCTGGGAGCCTCACAGAGGTTCCCTTGTAAGTGATGAGTTGCTTTTCTCTTGCCGCTTTCAAAAATTATCTTTATTTTTGACTTTTGATCATTTGCTTAGATTTGTCTTGGTGAATCATCTTCGGGTTGATCCTGTTGTACACCTTAGAGCCTCATAAACCTGTATGTCCATATCCCTAACAAGATTGTGGAACTTTTCAGCCATCTTTAAATAAGCCTTCTTCCCTTTCATTCTCTCTTCTTCTGAGACAACCATAATTTGTGTATCAGTTCCCTTGATGGTGTCCCATAAAAACTGTAAACTTTCTTCACTCCTCTCAATTCTTTTTTTTTTCCTCTGACAGGATAATTTCAAATAACTGGTCTCTGAGTTAATGGATGTGTGTGTTCATGCATTATCTGTAGAGGATCATGTATACTGTCTGTGGGGACATATGTGGGGAGTTTGCTATGTGAGAGGAAGGGGCACAGGGAATGCTGGGAGTACACAAGAGTTAGATGGGGGAAGGAACCCCAAAGGTGATGCATCCTACCATGTTTGTGGGAAGACCTCTTGAGGGAGTCTTCCGGACAGGTATAAGTCATAGTTCTTTGTTGAATTCCATTTCCCAGTTGCTGTGAACTCTCATCTCTTTTTCATACTCCTAGATGCCCAAAGACTATTCAGCTTTGCTTATCTCCTCAGTATTCTGAATGGGACAAGAAGTAAGTTAGCTTTTGGGCATCATACCTCATGGCTGAGCATCCAGGCATTCACTGTGCTCTCAATTTCCCCTGTGGGATAAATCATGGGTTGAGGGGTTCTTTCTTGGCACTGATCTGTGTTACCTTGGGAAAGGAATGATGTAGGCAAAGTGAAACTGTTCTTCTTACCTTTTTCAATGTGTCCACTCTTGGGTTCGTTACTTTTGTGGTGTTCTGGGACCCATCCACCATATTCCTGGCCTCCTGCAAAGGTACTCTCATCCATGTGTGTTTGTCAAAATCAGCATTTCTCTCAGAAAGATGAAGGCTGAAAACTAGTTTACTGTCTTGGTGTCAACATTCTCCTTCTTACTCCTCAATTAAATGTATCCCATCTGAGAACACTGGAGTCATCTTCAACTCATTCCTGTTTTGTCTCGCTTGCTCCCCTCTCTACCTCATAGCCCACTAGTCACCAGGTTCTCTTAAAGTCCTCTCTTCCATGCACACTGCCATTTTTCTCTTCATCACTTCCCAATTTCTTGGCTCAAAAATTACAATGGGGTCCCACTCTTCACCTTGACTCTGATCCTGTCAACCCATCACCAATGTATCAAAGGGCTCATCCTACAACTCAGGTCCAATCATGTTGTTTTTCATCTTTAAAAGGCCCACAATGCTTTTCTTTCATTTCCTGAATAAAAAATCCAAGGCTCTTTGGGATTTGACATTATCTAGGCTTCCCAGATTCTTCTCCTATTACCTCTATGCTTAGCCCATGCTACATATTCACTTTCCCCAGACAGAGGTTGCCTTTCATACAAACTTTCACCAAGACTTTCCATATTAGGGTGTCCTTCTCCTGGATATCTTCCTTCCGAAAGCCTATTTTATTAGGCCATTCTTGCATTGCTATAAAGAAATACCTAAGACTGGGTAATTTATACAGAAAAGATATTTAATGGCTTATGATTCTGCAGGCTGTACAGGATGCAGGACACTGGCATCTGCTTTGCTTTGTGGGAGCACTCAGGGAGCTTTTACTCATGGTGGAAGCCAAAGGGGGAGCAGGCCTTTCACAAGGCAAGAATGAAAGCAGGAGAGAGAGTGGTGAGGGTAGGTTCCACACTTTATAACAACCAGATCTTGAGAAAACACACTCATTGTCATGAGAACAACACCTAACCATGAGAGATCTGCCCCCATGATCCAAACACCTCCTACCAGGCCCCACCTTCAACACTGGGGATTATAACTCAACATGAGATTATGGTGGGGAAAAATATCCAAACTATATCATTCCACCACTGCCCCTCCCAAAATCTCATGTCCCTCTCACATTGCAAAATATAATTATACCTTCCCAGTAGTCTTCCAAAGTCTTAAACCATTCCAGAATTAACACAGAAGTCCCAAGTCCAAGTCCAAAATCCCATCTGAATATGAGTTCCTTCCACCTCTGAGCCTGCAAAACCAAACAAGTTATTTACTCCCAAGACACAATGGGGGTACAAGCATTGAGTAAACATTCCCATTCCAAAAGGAAGAAATCAGCCTACACAAAAAAGGGCTGTATCCCCATGCAAGTTTGAAAGCCAGCAGAGCAATCATTAAGTATTAAGCCTCCAAAATAATCTCCTTTTACTCCGTGTCCCTTATCCAGGGCATGCTGTTGCAAAGAGTGAGACCCCAAAGACATGGGCAGCTCTTCCCCTATGGCACTGCCTGGTTCAGCCCCCAAGGCTGTTCTCCAGGGTTGGATTTGAGTGCTCATGGTTTTTCCAGGTGCAGGGTGCAAGCTGCCAGTGGATTTTCCATTCTGGGGTCTGGAGGATAATGGCCCTCTTCCCACAGCTCCATTAGGCAGTGTCCAAGTGGTGACTCTGTGTGGGTCCTCTAATCCCACATTTACCCTCTCCTTTGCCTTAGTAGAGGTTCTGTGTGAGGGCTTCACCCCTAGAGCAGGCTTCTGCCTGGATACCCAAGCTTTTCCATACATCCTTTGAAATCTCGGTGGAGGTTCAAAAGCCTCATTCACTCTTGCACTCTGTGCATATGCAGGCTTAAAACCATCTGGAAGCTGCCAAGGCTTATGGCTGGCACCCTCTGAAATGGTGGCTCAAACTGTATTTGTGCTCCTTTGAACTGAAATGAGAGCCAGAGTGGCCAGGATGTGGGGATCAGTGTCCCAAGACTGCACAAGGCAGCAGTACCCTGGGCCTTTCTCACAAAACCATTGAGTCCTCCTAGGCTTCAGGGCCTGTGATGGAAAGAGCTACCACAAAGGTCCCTGAAATGCTTCCAAGGCCTTTTTCCCATTGTCTTGCCTACTAGTACTTGGCTCGGTTTTTTTAGATATGCAAAATTCTCTAGGAAGTGGTTCCTCCGCAGACTGCTTGAACTCTTCTGAAATTGGGCTTTTCTTTTCTGCTGTGTGGCCTAACAGCAAATTTTCCAAACTTTTATGGTCTATTTCCTTTCTAAATATAAGTTCCAACTTTAAGTCCTTTCTTAGCTCCTGTATCTGTGCATAGGCTGTTAGAAGCAGCCAGATCATATCTTGAACACTTTGTTGCTTAGAAATTTCTTCTGCCAGATACCCTAAATCATCATTTTCAAATTTAAATTTCCACAGATACGTAAGATATGAATACAGTGCAACCAAGCTCTTTGCTAAAGTATAACATGTGTGAACTTTACTCCAGCTCCCCATAAGTTCATCATTTCTATCTGAGACCTCCTCAGCCTGGACTTCACTGTCCATATCACTATCTGCATTTTGGTCACAACTATTTAACCTAGTCTTTACAAAGTTCCAAACTTTCCCTCATCTTCTTGTTTTCTTCTGAGCTCTCCAAACTCTTCCAACCTCTGCCTGTTACTTAATTCCAAGTCACTTCCATATTTTCAGGTACGTTTATAGCAATGCCCCAGTCCTTAGTACCAATTTTCTGTATTAGGCCATTCTTGCATTGCTGTAAAGGAATACCTGAGACTGGGTAATTTATAAAGAGAAGAGGTTTAACTGGCTCACAGTTCTGCAGGGTGCACAGGAAGCATGGCGCTGGCATCTGCTCAGCTTCTGAGGATGCCTCAGGGAGCTTTCACTCTTGGCCAAAGGCAGAGGGGGAGGATGCATTTCACATTGTGAGAACAGAAGCAAGAGAGCGAGTGGGGTCAGAGATGCCACACTTTACAACAACCAGATCTCACAAGAAATTACTCACTATTGTCCGGGTGTGGTGGCTCACGCCTATAATCCTAGCACTTTGAGAGGCCGAGGCAGGTGTATCACAAGGTCAGGAGTTTAAGACCAGCCTGGCCAATATGGTGAAACCCCGTCTCTACAAAAATACAAAAATTAGCTGGGCATCCCAGCTGCTCGGGAGGCTGAGGCAGGAGAATCCCTTGAACCCAGGAGGCGGAGGTTGCAGTGAGCCAAGATTGTGCCACTGCACTCCAGTCTGGGTGACAGAGCGAGACTCCATCTCAAAAAAAAAAAAAAAAAGAAAAAGAAAAAGAAAAAAAAAATTACTCACTATCCTGAGGACAGCACCTAGCCATGAGGGATCAACCTCTATGACCCAAACACCTTCTACCAGGCCTCATCTCCAACATTGGGGATTACAATTCAACATGAGATTTGGGCAGGGACAAATATCCAAACTATACCAATTACTAACCAAACGCCTTCTCCTCATTCAAGGTCCAGTTAAAATTCTCTTCTCCATGAAACTCTCTGAGAAAACCCAAAAGGACATAACCATTTATTTCTTCACACATAACATCAAGCATGAATTGACTTTTTCTTACTTTACTCCCCTTTTGGTTTGAAATAATCTTGAGGCACAGGATGTTCTTAATTCATTTCTGTTTCCAGCACCTCTTACACTGCAGTGAGCCCAGGTTCCAATACATTTTCCTCTGTATAATCGGATTCCATATTAAAGATTTATCAAATGCTAGGAAGGGAAAGGTTTTCAAAAGGTCATTATGCTTTCTTCCCTAAAGTTTCTGCTTATTAGAAAAAAGATATATGCATTATAATCTATATACACACATATATGTGTTATATATGTGTGTATATATATGTGTGAATAATACACATATATATAATATGCATATATATGTATATATAGATTATAATGTGTATATTAAGAACCCTGTGTATATAGCACTTTGACACTATCTATATCTATAGAATCCATATATAGTATCTATAGATATATATAGATACTATATATATGGTGTTTTTAGCATCTTCTTTTGCTGACGCCATATTTGATGTAGGTCTGCTTATTATTCCTTTGTAGGCAACCTAATGTTTTCTCTTAAAATCTTATTGTAGCTGTTCTGAAATGTCACACTGGTGTATTGAAGTGTAGATATTTTCACTTTTATTCTGTGCTGGGCTGCAACATTTGGAAAACTCAAGCCCTTTAGCTCCAGGAAATTCTCTTTTCTTTCTTCTAGCAATTCATCCCATTCATATTCTCAATTCCGTCTTTCCAGAACACCTGATTGTTGGATGTTAGACTGCTCATACTAAGTTTCTGTTTTTTAAAAGTATTTCTTCTCTTAATTCTTTTCTTAGTTTCATTGTGTCTTTAAAGTGGTTTCCATTATTATATTTTAGTTAGCTTTTTAATTTCAGCAATCTTTTAATTTTTGAGAATTCTTTATTGATCTCTAATCATACCTGTTTCATAACATCTTATTCTTGTTTTTTGTTTCATGTTTTTTGTTTGTTGTTGTTGTTGTTGTTTGATGCAAAGGACTTCCCTTGTGACTTGTTGCCTCCACTCCCTCACAAACCCAGTACAGCATACTGGCTGTGGCTGCTGTTGCCCTTGATGCTACACCTTTTCATGCCATTTCTTTTCCTCTTCCTCTCCTCCTCTTTTTTCCCGTTTTCTGTTCTTTGAATCATTTCTATTTCCTTTGATATCACTTTTTTCCATTTTTAGATCTTAATTTTTCTCTTTGGTATCTCATATTTTCCTCATATCTGCATTGATGCTTGCCCATTCATATGTAGAATGAGGCAATAGAAAACCTGTGAATTTTCTGCTCTCATGTATTTCTGGCTGGTTAACAACAGCTTTCATTTTAGGTTAAACTGATAGAAAATAAATATTTTGCTTTGGGATCCATAAATGTCAATATGGGGGTTTTGCTTCGGGATACCAGCTCTCATATTAATTTTCCCTAGGTGATTCATTTCATTTCATTACATTAGAAAAGAACCCTCTTTTATCTTCCTGGCAGGTAAACACCTGCCGGACTGTTCCGCATATCTATAGAAGAGAAGGTGGGTAAGGTGTATTTAGATCTCAAGATAACCGTTCTACTTTCAGTCTTTCTCATTTCTGCCTTCTGTAGTGCCTGTCATTTCTGAGCTCTGAGTTCTCTGGCCTTTAGCAGAACAGATCGACTCCCTCTTTTGCTACTGCCTTTTCACACAAATTTTAGTCTTTGGCTTCCTTACTTGTGGCTCATCCACTTTTAATTTTCCAGATATTTGTTGTTATTTTTACTTGCAGATGTTTCTCCTATCCAACTTCTTCTCTTGGTTCTTATGAATTATTATCTTGCTTTTTCTTCACTGTGATTTTCATCGAGTTTTGGAAAGGAAAGGAGGTAAGCACCTAGGCTTGAGCCTATGTCGAAAATTGCAAGTCTGAAACAATTGGTTTTAATTTTTACAATTAAACAATAGTAAAATCTTTAAACAACTGGTAAAACACTGAGTTATTGTGCAATGGGTATAAAGTTTTAGTTATGCAAGGTGAATAAATTTGGGGGATCTGCAGTACAATATCATACATACAGTTAATGGTGCTTTATTGTACACTTTAAAACTTGTTAAGAGTGTAAATCTTATGTTAAATATTCTTACCATAGTAAAAAAATCAATATTGGAAAAAATTACAAAACATTTTTTAAAAGTGTAATATCATAGGGTCTTCTCTCTTGTCGGTAGTTTCTATTCTTCAAGCAATGATCAGTGGCGTTTTCAGAAACCGGAAACATACCCTTCTAGGCTTGTGAGAAAACCAGCTTATCTCTGCAAAATGAGTTTAGGATCATGGTTATGAGGTACTGACAAACGAAGATCAGTGAGTGAAAAGAGAAATTCCAGAGGATATATCAAATAGGATTAAGTAAGAAGATACAGACAAGGAAGCAGAGGAAAGAAGCAATAGATTCATAAAATAAACATAAAAAACAAACATAAGGCAAGGGCAAATGGGATTACATTTGGAGACAGGACCAAGTAAATCTTAAGAAATGAAGTATAAATCATCAGATGTTGCACATGTTGCCCAGGAGAGCATCCAAGGTTATCAAGAGATTTTGAGGTGCTCTGGTTTAAGAAAAAAATTGAGAAAAAATCCACTCTGCCTCTTTTAACGTGGAATCACTTTAACTGCAAAAATCTGGAAGACTAATCAAACAACTGTTCTATTTTCCTTACAGCCTTCAGTGTGTTTCTTCCTACAATGTTCTCATTCAAAATTCAACCTATTGTCACACAATAATGTACTTGATAAATAGAAACAAGCCAAATATGATTAGCCTTGCAATGAGTATCAAGCAGAATATTTCTGGGCTATTTAGAGTTCGTCTGAAATCCAACTGGTTAAGATAATCTTTTATGTGAGCACAGAGTTCTCCGTAGTGCTAGATGAATATTCGATGGGCTGATCTCTGTTTAGATTATGCCCTACTCAGAAACCTTCAGCAGCTCCCAACCATGTACCAAGTCCAGATTTCTGAGGCTGGACTTCATTTTCTTCCACTCTGGGGAGCTTCTGCCTTATTACACCCCCAAACCATGATCATGTGCTGATTAAAGTCTTTAGCTATTTCCTTTCTGGACATTCTGCCTTTTAGATCTTCACCTGGCTCAGCAGAAGAGCAGTCAAGGCCTGCCAGAGCCTTGAAAGGCACTGAAAGATAAATATCACATAATCTCACTTACATGTGGAATCTAAAAATATTGAACTCATAGAAGTAGACAGTAGAATGATGGTTACCAGAGACTGGAGAGAAGAGGAAGAAAGGGAATGAAAAGTTATCAGTCAAAGGGTAAAAAGTTTCAGAGAGGTAAGAGAAAGAAGTTTTAAGACTTATTGCACAGGAGGGCAACTGCTAAAGTTTGGATATTGTTTGTTTGGCCCCTTCAAATCTGATGTTAAAGTTTGATCCTCAGTGTTGGAGGCGGGGCCTGGTGGGAGATGTTTCGTTCATGGGGACAGATCCCTCATGAATAGCTTGGTGCCATCCGCACAGTAATGAATGAGTTCCCACTCTATCTGTTTCCACAAGACCCAATTGTTAAAAAGAGCTTGGCATCTCCGCCATCTCTCTTGCTTGCTCTCACTCACCATGTGATCTCGGCACATGCCAGCTCACCTTTACCTTCTGCCACCAATTGAGTGGCTCTCTCCAGATCCAGATGTCCAATCTTGAAATTTTTCAGACATTAAAATTATAAGCCAAATTAACCTTTTTCTTTAATAAATTGCATAGCCTCAGGTATTTCTTTATAGCAACACAAATGGACTAAGGCAGTGACTAGAATCAATAATAATGCATTGCATATCTCAAAATAGCAAAGACTAAATTTCACATTTCTCATCACAAAAAATAAGTAAATGCAGTGATGGATATGTTAATTTGATTTAATCATGCCACATTGTATACAGATATCAAAACATCACATTGTACCGTAAAATGTATACTATTGTAATTTTTCAATAAAAATAATAATTATTATTTTAAATAAAATAATTTAATTAAATTTAAAAGATTCATACCTGGCTGTGCCATTTCACCAGTTGTACATATGCTGCTTTACTTTGAGAAATACTGGAATAATGCAAAGTTCACACTCTGGAGTGACACAGCACTCATTCCTAATTTCACCTTTGCGACTCCTAGCTGTATGACCTCAGGCAAGTTATTTAACCTCTCTGAGTTCCACTATATATCAAGGTGCTCTATGTATAGGAAATTCTTCTTCCCCTTTGGAGCTACAGGAGAGATGCTGGAAATACAAATATGACATGAATTTCTGTCTTCGTCAGGTTCACAATCTAGCTATGAATTTCCACACATAAAAGCATTTACATGCAATGCTCTGTGATAGATGTACATTTTAAAAAACGTTTTTGCAGTCTAGGGCCTAAGAGCTAGGAGACTTTACAGTACATTAATGTTTAGGCATAATGTGTTCTACCCCTTTGTAGATATCGTAGTACCAACTGAAACATTTTCTTTTGAGTTAGCTTATAATTATGGCTTACATTAAAAATTTTTTTTCAGGATTCACTATTTGGATTATTTCCAAAAGCATTTGAGACAGGTTAGATGTTTTAAAAATGCAGATCTTGACTATCAGGGAATAAAATAGACCAGACACAAAAGTCAACAGGGAGCAAATTCTACCAGGCAGCTGCATGAAGCCACTAACTATAATTTGGCAATGAACTGGGTACCAAGATTTCTGGCAATGAAATTCCAAAGAGGGAAGCATGGTGGATCTTTTCTCTTATTATTGTCTGAAGAAGAAAATCACAAATACTAGTCTATAAAAACAAGCTTTGTCTGCAGACAAAATTTCTGATGATATCAGTGGGTCTTTGTCTAAAGGGTATTGAGTAGCACAGTAGGCAATATTTTCAACTGTGGTTCTACAAAAGACACAGAAGCACTGCTCACAAATAGGCCATTCTTGTCTAGATCTTTTAAAGAGCGAAAGGGCATAGCATTGCATCATAGCTGAAGGCTGTCTTCTCCCTAGAGCAGAAAACATAGTTTGAAGTATTAAAGCACCAAAACAGATTTTTCATAACACATTACAATGATGGACCTAACAGAATCCACAAATGACTAATCTGCATACACCATTTCACTATTTCACTCAAGTGACAGCTGTCTTACCTCAGCCTTTTAGATACTCTATGGTTACCTCAAATGAAAGCCATGTATTTGAGACACCAGATGTGTTAGACTGTATTGTTATACTATTTGCTGCCCTCAACCTTATCCAGAAGATAACTATGGGGTCATCCCTGCAGGAGGATTGTACTCCTCATCTCATTGACATCAGGCTTGGCCACGTAACTTGGCTTGGCCAATGAAACATGAGTGAAAGTGCCGTGTGCCACCTAAGCAGAAACTTTCAGAGCCTTCATGTGGCATGTGGTTCTTCTCTTCACTTTTCTTCTCTTCACTTTTCTGTCTTCCCTGAAATTGGCATATCTCATGAAGGGCTTGCTTCTTCACTTTTCTTCTCAGAATGAAGACGATGTAGAGTAGAACTGCAGTTGAACTGTAAAGGTTGTAAAAAGTGAGTAAGAAATAAATACACTTTTTAGTGGCGGGCGCCTGTAGTCCCAGCTACTTGGGAGGCTGAGGCAGGAGAATGGCGTGAACCCGGGAGGCGGAGCTTGCAGTGAGCCGAGATCCCGCCACTGCACTCCAGCCTGGGCGACAGAGCGAGACTCCGTCTCAAAAGAAAAAAAAAAAAAAAATAAATAAATAAATAAACTTTTATTGTTGGAAGCTGCTGAGACTTGGGAGCTATTTGTTACCATAGGATAACTTGACAAAAGCTGACTGATTCACAAAACATACTAGAAAGAAGCTTGCCTTCCTTTAGTGAATTGACAGTTGAACTCGTGTCCTGCCAACATGTTCTGTGGAATATTATTGGAAAATACAACTTCTATGTTACAATTTTTATTTCAGGGGTATCCAGCTGACTCCATCAGTTTGTAGATGAATTAAGTTTAGCAACTAAACCGTGTTGAGCATGCCGGTAATGAATGCTGAGCTAGTTACAACCCCAGAGGGGTAGGTGAAAGAGAGAGAAAGACTGCTAACATTTGTTATTTTCTATATGCTAGATGCCTTACAAACATTGTTTCATTTAATCTCATGGGTATCCTAGTTTTGCCCCCATTTTAGAAATGTAATTCCCAGGAGCCAGATAAGCTGCTCCCATTCAAAGAGATGATAAGTAATACAGCTGAAATTTGAGCCTAGATCAGACTGATTTCAAATGCTATACTCTTTCCATTATTTTCTTTCTACTATAGGCTTTTCATTGCACAAGACAGGAGGGATTGATAGGATAGACACAAATCATTATTCTGGGAACTACTAGAGAATTCTTTGGAAGCCCAGTTTTGCATTAAGTTTAAAGAGAAAGGGTCAAGTTGTAAAGGATTCGCCAATATGTTTCTAGGTCTCTAATTTGGATTTAATATTAATTTCGTATTAACTATAATTCATATTTTAATTATAAAAGGAAACAGACGCTCAGGTAGAAAAATCACAAGTGAATATCAACTCTCTTGAAAATCAAGAATTTACAAATGTAGAAGCGGTAAAATAAATATCAAAGAAAAAGATGTATTTGACTATACAATCTATTAACCAAATGCTGTATCTCAAGTATAGCCTTTAAATTTTGGCAGATACATACCTTTTGGTATGTTCAGTAGTGTTCTATTAGTGGGAAATCTGATTATTCATTCTTGTGATAATCCCCACACTTTTAGGTTATGTTTAATAGTTTTTTTATAGTTAACTCTTTAACACATTTGGAATGTATTTCCATGTGGCAAGTAAGGTAAGGAGGTAAGTCATCTTTTCCTAAGTACTTATCTGATTTTCTCAGAATAATTATTGAGTAATGCAACTCTTTCCTATACTATTTTATGCGTACTTTTGCATATTTTGAAGGTTAATTTCATATGTCAACTTGACTGAGCCAACATGCCTTGAGCATAGTGAGCTACGGAGAGTGTTGGGAATTGATTTTGGAGAGTCCGAGTATCCAGATTATGAAGGGGTTTGTTGGTTAGTCTGAGTAAACAATTTGGATTTTATTCTCAGAAAATGGCAAGCCACTAGAGGATTTTAGGCATGAAAGTGATGTGATAAGAATTACCTTTATACATTATCATTCTATGTTCTATGGGAAGGTGAGACTATGGGGAATGGGAGTAGAAAGATGTTAGGAAGGCATTACAAAAGTTTAGGCAGAATATGATGCTGACTTAGACCAGGGTGGTAGTGGAAAAAACAGGAGGAAATGGACATATTCTGATGCTATTTTAGAAACAAAGTTGAGAAGATTTATTCATGGATTGAATGCAGGGTGTTGAGGGAAAAAGATAAATCTAGGATTATTATCAGGCTTTTGGCTTGAGCATTTAGATGAATGGTAATACAATTTTCTGAGACGCCAAAAGACTAGGAGAGGTACAGATTTATTTAGAGAGAAATCAAAAGGTCCATTTGTTGTGTGCTAGATTGGAGATGCCTATTCAGCAACCAAACAGAGATAATGTGTAGGAGTTAGATATATCCTGATAAGTCAGAAGCTCAGTGGAGACATCAAGGCTGGAGATACAATTTGAGGTCCTTGGACTGTTTGTTATTCAAACCCGTGCAGTGAAATGGAATCACTTAGAAAACGAGTATAATAAGGACAGCAAAACAGCAAAAAGTGGCCTAGTATTAAATTCTTGGAACACTCAATTTTCTACAATTTCAGTAGAGGAGTAGAAGTCAGAAAAAGAGACTGAAAAAATCAGCCAGCGAAGTAAAAGAAAAACCAGAAGTGTGATGTCATAGAAGAAGATAGAAGAAAATATTTTAAGTAGGGAGTAGTCAACTATGCCAAATGCTGCTGAACTATTGAGTAAGTAGAAGATAATAAAGTGACCATTGGGTTTGACAAGTAATATCAATAGATGAATAATATATTTGACTTCCGTTAATGATCATTATTAATATAATCTGTTTACAGACTATCAACAAATGTTTGTGGAAAAGGCCATCATGTTTATAGTAATTGTCAGCTTTCATAATTTGCAATAGCTTGTGCTTCCTTAGCCTAAATAAATATTTATATTTATATCAAAATTTGTATTTTTTAAATAGTATAACAAAATGAATTTTCGTAAGATATTAATTATGCACCAATAATGAGTTTAAACTAAAGACAATACTTCATATCATTCTGAACAAAGAAATTACAGATCACATTTATTTAATAGCAAAATGTCTAGTTGTTTAATAAAATGTTTTTAGGAACTTATTACAATATCATTTTCAAAACCAAACAACAAAAACAATAAATAAATCACTTTATGGCACAGGACATTGTAAACTTATTTGTACAGCACAACAGGCAGATTTTTGTGTTAGAAACAGAAGGGAGGAAAATTCAAATTAAGCCGAAAATTCAAATTAAGCCAATAATTCAGGAAATGGGTATTCCTAAATTTGTGGTTAACTGCGGCTTAATTTGATAAGGAACAAGGTTCTTTGGACATCAGATTTTATTTTAAAGAAACATGGTTTTTTGAAGATTCATGCTTTTAAATTTGTATTAAAAGAGATTGATAAAGGAATGCATAACTCAGCAAAGGATATGATATGTTTTGGATATTTGTCCTACGCAAATTTCATGCTGAAATGTGATCCCCAGTGTTGGAGGTGGGGCCTGGTGGAAGGTGTTTCCATCACGGGGGTGGATCCTTCAAGGCTTGGTGCTGTCGTCATGATAGTGAGTGAGTTCTTACAGGATCTGGTTGTTTAAAAGTATGTGGCACTTCCTCATTATCTCTCTCACTCCTGCTCTTGCCAAGTGACGTGCCTGCTCCCGCTTCACCTTCCAACATGAGTAAAGGCTCCCTAAGGCCTCCCCAGAAGCCAAGCCGATGCTGATGCCATGGTTTTACAGTCTGCAGAACTATGAGCCAATTAAATCTCTTTTCTTTATAAATTACCCAGTCCAAGGTATTCCTCCATAGCGATGCAAGAATGGACTAACACAGGAATCTTCTACTGTATTGTCAATTCTCACCATTATGAGTACTGAATTTTGCAAGATAATCATTAAAATTTGGTATGGGACATCAATTTATACACATGAGGGTTAGATTTTAAAATACAGTTTTTGGTTCTTTGATATTAAACTGAAATTTATATAACACAGGAGGTTTGAGAGCTTAAAAAACAAAATGATAAAAAGTTAACATAGTTTATTCATTGATATGTCTATTGCCTTTATCATAAGCCATATATTTAAGAATCAAACTATGACTGTGCTAGTCAGATGCTATTGAGCAAACTGCCATCATCCACAATCCATAATACTTTTATATTTTTAACTCAGACAAATATGTAAGATTCAGTAAATTTTAATTTTCCAAATGTTCTCAAAAAGAACTATCAGTAGCATCCTACTTTTAAAAAACAAAGTTGGATAATCCATTTACCCCAAATGAACTACCTGTCTGTGTTTTGAGGTAGCAATCAAAGACTATATGATCTTCTGTGGCGGTAATACCCTTACTTCATAAGCATTCCCTCTTCATATTAAGAGTGTGAACAACAAAAAGAGACAGAAGAGTCACCTTGTATTATTTCATTGACTTTTGGTGTTTTCTTTGTATGTTAAATGCCTGATTTCAATTTTACAACAAATATCCATATGTATTCTTAAAGGTAATCATATATCCCAAGTAGCAGATAATAACAAATTCCAACAAGATCTCTAGGAATAACTTGTAGTTTTGAACATTTATAGAAAAACATTTCCAGCAGTCTGTGCAGTATTTATTCCTATTCTATCATTGGTATTAATTGCACTTGTTCCAGCAAGATCTTTAAATTATTCTGTGCAAACTTTAAGACTACTGGAAAAGTGTACTTTCAAGAACACCCCGAGTATTTTCTATGGCAGCCGAGGATCCAACATCAGCGTGATCTTAAGGGAAACCTTTGACTTGGTGGAGCTGCTGTGAATAGAGAACCCACATCAACTCTGTAGAAGCCTCACTTCCTCCATGGTGCTGGGCACCATCCTGTATTCTTTGTCTTAAATGGATCTTTTAAATTGTAAAAAGCTTCTAGCTGCACAAACCCTAGATCCATACATGTTTAGGGTAGATATAGATATAGGTATATACCATTTCTTTCACAAATGAATGAAAATTTGGTGCTGTGGTTTAATTTTGCTAATGAAAAGAGTCAAACTCTGTCAAATATTTGAAGAGATTTATTCTGAGCCAAATATGAATGACCAATGGCCTGTGACACAGCTCCAGAAAATCCTGAGAACATGTGCCCAAAGAGGTCAGGCTACAGCTTGGTTTTATACATTTTAGGAAGTCATAAGACATCAATCAATACATGTAAGATGCGTATTGGTTTGTTCCAGGAAAGCAAGACAACTGAAAGTGGGGAATTCCAGGTCATAGGTGGATTCAAAGATTTTGTGATAGGCAAGTGGTGGAAAGAGTTATTATCCAAAGACCTAGAATTAATAGTAAAGAATAAGATAAGATATTAAGATAAAGGGTAGTGGAGACCATTGTTTTACATGCAGATGAAACCTCCAGGTAGCAAGCTTCATAGCTCTTATCAGACCTTAAAAGCTGCCAGAGTCTTAGTCAATTGTCCCCTGGAGCAGAGAAAAGACCTAGAAAAGAAGGAGATTCTCTATAGAATGTAGATTTTCCCCACAACAGACAGCTTTCCAGGGCCCAAAATGTGTCAAGAAATATATTTTGGGGTAAGACACTTTGATTTCTTTCAGGGCTTGCTATCTGTCATGGGAAGCTATATTAGAGCAGGCTGGAATTTGGTGCCTTATTACTACAAAAACTCTGTTTTTTCAGTCTTAAGATTTCTGTTTTAATGTTCATGCTGGTCAGCTCTGCCTGAATTCCAAAGGGAGGAGAGTATAATGCAGCATGTCCAATCCCCATATCCCATCATTGCCTGAACTAGTTTTTCAGGTTAACTTTAGAATGCCCTTGGTCAAGGGGAGGGTGCATTCAGACAGTTGGGGGCTTAAAATTTTATTTTTCCTTTACAATTTAAAATTCTTGGCTTATACTTCTCCCCACTCTCAGCTCTGTGGTCGATAATCTATCGTCTTCTTCAGTTTTGGAGAAGATTAAGGGTAATTTGATCTTGTTTCTTTGTGGATAACTATTATTAGGTTCACTTGTTTGTTTTTGGTTTGGGTGAAATGTAGATGCTTGACCATTCAAGAATTCTTGATTTGTGACATTTAATAGTTATACCTGATATGAATCTGTTTTGATTAATTGTTCATAGAACTCAGTGAATGCTCTTTATTTCTAGACTTACTGCTTTTCTTGAGGTCAGAACCCCTTTACTTAAGTTTTTCTTCAGTAATGCTTCTGTTTTATACATTTTCACCTTCTTCCAGCTGCCGTTTATTTGTTGCTCATATTTATTGTACCTCCCATATTTAATATTACTCCTCTCAGTTTTGTTTATGTCTGTTTTCTCTGGGTTCTGAAAAGTTTCTCAAGATTGTCTTCTTATTTGCTAATTTAATCTTCTGAGGTGTAAATTCCAATCATTACTTCCACACAGTTATTTGTTCACTATGTTATTCATCTCTGCGTAGTCTTTCTTTTATGGATATTTACAAAAACAGCAAGAGAAAGTGTGACGGGAACTTGAATTTGGGCACAAAATGGAACAGAGTTACTGGCCCTGTATACTACATGCCCTCTCATCCCGATTTCCCCAGGGAGAGGGGTCTTAAAAGTTATCACTGAAATTCATTCTAATGTTGACAATATATCAAGAAATCACTGAAAAGGACCACTTTGGGAGAAGTTGAGAAGAGATTTTTTCTTATCTGTTGATGAACACTTGGGTTGACTCCATATCTTTGTTATTGTGGACAGTGCTGCAATAAACATAGGGGATGCAGATATCTCTGTGATATACTAATTTCCTTTTCTTTAAAAAAAAATAATAATGGGATTAGTGGATCATGTGGCAGTTCTAATTTTAGGTTTTTGAGGAAACTTTATATTGTTTTTCATAATTGCTGTACGAATTTATATTCCCACCAACAATGCACAAGAGTCTCCTTTTCTCTGCTCCCTCCCCAACAATTGTTATTTTTCATCTTCCTGGTAAAAGCCATTCTAACAGGCATGAGAGGATATAGACATACATCAGAGATGCTGGGAGTTTGGTTTGAAACCACCACAATAATATAAATTTTACAATAAAGGGAGTCACATGATTTTTTTGGTTTCCTGGTATATATATAAATTATGTTTACATGATATTGTAGTCTATTATCTGTGCGATAGCATTATGTCTAAAAACAATGTACAAACCTAAATGAAAAATACTTTATTGTTAAAAATGCAAACTATCATCTGTACATTTAGTCAGTCGTAATCTTTTTGCTCGTGGAGTGTCTTGCCTTGATGTTGACGGCTGCTGACTAATAATAGTGGTGGTTGGTGAAGGTTGGGGTGGCTATGACAGTTTCTTAAAATAAGACAGCAATGAAGTTTGCAGTATCAATTAGACTCTTCCTTTTAGGAAAATTTTCTCTGCCGTGTGCAATGCTGTTTGATTGCATTTTACCCACCGTTTATGCAATATTCTAAATCCTTTGTTGTCATTTCAACATTTATAGCATTTTCACTAGGAATAGATTTTATCTCAAGAAACCAGTTTCTTTGCTCATCCATAGGAAGCAACTCCTCATCTGTTAAAGTTTTATAATGAAATTGAAGCAATTTGGTCACATCTTTAGGCTCCACTTCTGATTCTGGTTCTCTTGCTATTTTCACCATATCTGCAGTTACTTCCTCCACTGTAGTCTCAAATGCCTCAAGGTCATCCATGAGAATTGGACTCAATTTCTCCCAAACTCTCATTAATGTTGACATTTTGACCTCCCAAATGCTCTTAAATGGCATCTAGAATGGTGAATTCTTTCTAGAAAATTTTCCATTTACTTTGCCCAGATATATCACAAGAATCACTATCTTATGGAAACTATAGCCTTACAAAATATATTTCTTAAATAATAAGACTTGAAAGCCATAATTACTCCTTGATCCACAGACTGCAGTATTGATATTGTTAGTGGACAAGAAAACAACATTCATTTCCTTCTACCACTCCATCAGAGCTCTTGGGTAACAAGGTGCATTGTGAAGGAGCAGGAATATTTTAAGGAATCTTTTATTCCTTGGCAGTAAGTCCCAACAGTGGGCTTAAAATATTTAGTCAACCATGCTGTAAACAGATGTGTGCTGTCATTCCGGCTTTGTTGTTCCACTGACAGAGCACAGACTGAGTAGATTTAGTGTAATTCTTAAGGGCCCTAGGATTTTCAGAATGGTAAATGAGAATGAGTATTGGCTTCAGCTTAAAGGTGCCAGCTGCATTAGCCCCTAACAAGAGAGTTAACCTGTCATTTGAGGCTTTGAAGCCAGGCATTGACTTCTCCTTTCTAGCTATCAAAGTACTAGATGGGATCTTCTTCCAATAAAAGACTGTTTCATCTGTATTGAAAATTTGTTGTTTAGTGTAGCGCCCTTCATCCGTGACTATGGCTAGATCTGGTAACTTATACGTCAGCACCTTCTTCTTCACCTTGCACTTTTATGGTATGAAATGAACCAACCTCTATGAGCTTTCAACTTTTCTTCCACAGCCTCCTCACCTCTCTCAGCTTTCATAGAACTGGAGAGAATTAGGGCCTTGCTATGCATTAGGCTTTGACTTAAGTGAATGTTGTGGTTGGTTTTATCTTCTAACCAGACCACTAAAACTTTCTCCATATCAAAAATAAGGCTGTTTCATTTTTTTTTTTATCATTTGTGTGTTCACTGGAGTAGCACTTTTCATTTCCTTCAATACGTTTTCCTTTGCTTTCGTAACTTGGTTCACTGTTTGGTGCAAGAGGCCTAGCTTTTGACTTGTCTCTGTTTTTAGTGTGCCTTCCTCCCTAAGCTTAATCATTTATAGACTTTGATTGAACGTTAGAGACGTGCAACTCCTTCTGTCACTTGAACACTTAGAGGCCTTTGCAGTTATTTACTGGCCTAATTTCAATATTGAAATGATTGAAATTAGGGAGGCCTGAGGGAGAGAGAAATGAGGGAATGGTTGGTTGGTGGAGCAGTTAGAACACACACAATATTTATTGGTTAAGTTCTCTGTCTTATATAAGCACATTTCACAGTGCCCCTAAACAATTTGAATCACAATATCAAATATCACTGAAATCAGATCACCAAAGGAGATATAATAATAGGAAAAATTTGAAATATTGTGAAAATTACCAAAATGTAACACAGAGACATGAAGTGAGCACATGGCTATTGGAAAAATGGTGCCAATAGACTTGTCCAATGTAGGATTGACACAAACCTTCATTTTGTAAAAAATGCAATTCTTTGTAAATGGCAATAAAGCAAAGTACAATAAAATGAGGTGTGACCACATCACATTGTGGTTTTAATTTGCATTTCTCTAATAATTTGTGATACTGAGGATTTTTTCATGTACCTGCTGTCCATTTGTATGTCTTCTTTTGAGATTTTTCTGTTTGAGTTCTTTGCTCACTTTTAAATCAAGTTATTTGTTTTCTTGATATTTAGCTGCCTTAGTTCCTTGTGTATTTTACATATTAACTCCTTATCTGATGAATGGTTTACAGATATTTTCTACCATAGTGTGGACTCTCTCTTCATGTTGCTGATTGTTTTCTTTGCTATGTAGAAGCTTTTTATTTTGATGAAATTCTACTTGTCTATTTTTGCTTTTGTCACCTGTGTTTTGGAGGTTGTATCCAAAAATCATCGTTCAGACAACTGTTTCGGGAGTTTTCTCTTGTGTTTTCTACAGTAGTTTTAGAAATTCAGGTCTTATGTTGAAGTCTTTAGTCCATTTTGAGTTAATTTTTGTATATGGTCTGAGATAAGGATCTAATCTTATTCTTCTGCATGCAGGTAACGAGTTTTTTCAACATTATTTGTTGAAGAAAATATCCTTTCCTCATTATGTGATCTTAACACCTTTGTAAAAATCAACTGACCATAAATGCATGGGCTTACTTCTTGGCTTTTTATCCCATTCCATTTGTCTATGTGTCTCTTTTTATGCCAGTACAATACTGTTTTGATTATAATAGCTTTGTATTTTGAAAGCAGGGAGTGCGATGCCTCCCGCATTGTTCTTTTTTTTTTTTTTTCTTGGCCCAATAATCATTTTGACAATTTAGGTTCTCCTTTGGCTCTATCTAAATTTAAGTATTTTTCTCTATCTGAAAAATTCCATTGGAAATTTAAGTGATTACATTGAATCTGCAGACCACTTTGGGTACTATGAGCATTTTAACAATATTAAGTCTTCCAACCCATGAACACAATGACAAATTGAAAGCTTTTCATCTAAGGTCAGGGAGAAGACAAGGATGCTCACTCTCATCAGTTCTTTTTAACATAGTATTGAAAGTCCTAGCCAGAGTAATTAGGCAAGAGAAAGAAATAAAAGGCATCCTAACAGGAAAGGAAGAAGTGAAATTATCTGTATTTGCTGATGACACGATCTTACATACAGAAAACCCAAAAGACTTTACCAGAAACCTGTTTGAACTGATAAACAACTTCAGCATACTAGCAGAATACAAAAATAACATATAAAATCTGCAGAGTTTCTATATACTAATAAGGAAACATCCACAAAGGAAATTAAAAAAAAATCTCAATTACAATACCAACGGCAACAAAAAATATTTAGGTATAAATTTAACCAAAGAGGTGCAAGTCCTGTATATGGAGAACTATAAAACACTGATGAAAGAAATGGAAGAAAATGCAAATAACTGGAAAGATATCCCCTTTTATGCATTTATTTTCATGGATGGTAAAATGTAATTAGCAGAGAACACCTCTAATTTCACAAATATTATGGCTTAAGATGAAACAAAATTTAAGTAGAAAATGTGGCACAATTTATAGAATAGTGATAAGTAAACAATAATATGGATGACATAAGGGATATGGCAAGTAGCCTGTAGGTGTCCTAAGAATGACTAAGGTCTGAGCAATGCTGTGTTACACTTTGCTGCCTTAACCATGAAATGAATGAAAAGAAAGATATTTTAAACACCCATCTCATTCTGGTTGACACAGTTATCAAAAAACATTTATCAAATGATACAGCATATTTTATTTAATATTTGTGGAGACTCCCTTATATGCCAGGAATTAGACTAGGTACTGGATGTAAAAAGATTAATAGATTATTATCTCCCCTCATTAAGTTTTCAGTAAAGACCTCAAAGACACCTGTAATCAGTCACATATATTGTAGATGGAACCCTTTTAAAAAAAATTAATTTGTGGACATTTCTGCCCACTAATCCTAACCATGTATTTCTAAATTACATCATAAGTTTGGTTTATACTGCATTGTATATCCATTTCTTCTTCACTTTAAAATGGCAATTTTCATGTAAGTTATTTCAGCTGTGCTTTTCACACGATCAAAGGTCAATTGTCAGTTCTGATTAAACAGGATGTTGTTTCTTTGCATTGGTGATATTGGCTTTAAAAACAAGAAGGCCAGAGAATCAGGTATCAGGCAAGTCTGTGCCCTATAAATAGCAAAGATCGTAAGGCACTTTAGCGTTCTGCCAGTAAAACTTCATGTAAGGTCTTGGTGACTAAAATTATAGGCATTTAGAACGTCAGGAAAGGGAAAAACTTATTATGGTAAAATAACACAGAGTTTGCCTTTCTGTAATGGTTATGGGTTTTTTTTTTTTCCTTGCTTAAAATAACTTGATTTTATGAGCTTATAATACCTGCTGGAAATTAAGAGGAGTACTGCATTTTGCAGCTCATTAGGTGTTGATTACGTAAGTATTTCTTGGGTGAAGCATCATTTGAATTTTTCTCCACAAGTAAAACTGACAGTTTTTCTCTATCAGTTTTGTTATTATTTTCTCAATTATGTATTTGTAAAGTATATAATTACTCTTAGTTATTATCATGAGTGTTCATTTTCATATCTATTCACCATCTTAGGTCCGAAAAATGTTTTATAAAAGAGCAATAGAGACATCTATGTAGTATTAGCTGGAATTAGCATTTATGAATAGTTTAGTTGATTTTTACAGCTATTTTTTCAATCACGTCTTAATCTAAATGTGTATTAACATGAAGTAATTTAGTTTTCAGTGGAGAACACGTTAAGCAATGGCTATAATTCTGTTAGTTACATTTTCCGATAGAAAGTGATCGAGGGGCCGGCAGCGGTGGCTCACGCCTGTAATCCCAGCACTTTGGGAGGCCGAGGTGGGCGGATCACAAGGTCAGGAGATCCAGACCATCCTGGCTAACACGGTGAAACCGCGTCTCTACTAAAAATACAAAAAATTACCCGGGCGTGGCGGCGGGCGCCTGTAGTCCCAGCTGCTGGGGAGGCTGAGGCAGGAGAATGGCGTGAACCCGGGAGGCGGAGCTTGCAGTGAGCCGAGATCGCGCCACTGCAGTCCAGCCTGGGCGACAGAGCGAGACTCCGTCTCAAAAAAAAAAAAAGAAAGAAAAAAGAAAGTGATTGAGGAATGATGAGACCCATGATGGTTGAATCTTGCACTAAACACCAAGTACTCATGGGTTCCTCTGAAAATTAGATATTTAGAGCTGGACAGGCTAGAGGGAGAGGGGCGGGCTAGTGTTTCCTCAACAAATGAATGTAGTTCAACTAACTTAAGTTTATCAGTTTGGACTCAATCAGGAGACAGAAACCACAGGAATTTTGGAGTTTAGAGGCAATAACTTAATAACAGGTACACTAGATATTAGCTTTCAAGCTTTCATCACCTTTGGGAGCTTGGTCCATCTGCCTCTCTCCTCACCCTCCTCATCCCATTGTATTTTGAATACAGCCGCGAGAATGAACCTACTAAAATGAAAGTTAAGTCATGTCAGTCTTTGCAAAATTTTCTAGTGGCTCCCATTTCACTCAGAGAAAATGCTAAAGTCCTTACATCTATCAAGTCCCACCCAAGCTGTTTGTCTTTACCTCCGTGACCTCACTTTATACTTGTCTTCCCCTCGCTCATATGCTACCTCAGCCAGAATGAAATTCTTGCTGCTCCTTAAACATGCCAGGCAGCCCCTGCTTCAGACCTTGGCACTTGGTGTTCCCTCTCTGTAGAGAGCCCTTCCCTGAGAGAGCCCAAGGCTTGCTCCTTTATTTCCTTTACTCAAATGTCACCTTCTCAGCGAGGGATGCCATGGGCATCAATCTCATATTGTAACTTGCTTTAACCCTCCATATCCCTCTTTTACGCGTTTCTTTTCTCTCCTCCACACCTGAAATTCTACATACTCATAATCAGCCATGCTACGATTATACTTGTACCTATTTTTCAGGAATATTGTAAAGATTCAGTGATTAAATTGTATATATCTGTGTGTGTGTGCACACGCACGTGCATATGTCTATATACATAGAATGCAGTCAATGAATATTCGTTACATATAGCCAACAAGCCCTATGAATGATGACTTATGAAAACCTGCGTGTGAACCTCAGAAACACCTTTTTCTCCTAGATTAAAGGCCAGGACTCATCCTACTCTGAAATTTGGCCAAGTGACCACCTTGTCCCACACTCAAGTATAGACTCTCAAGACCTTAACCTTATGATGACAAGAAGAGGCAAATAAAGGAAAAGGTAAGGAAAAAATGAACCATGGGGAAAAAAATGGATATTTGTCTCATATCACACTCTCACTAGAAATTTCCAAAGAGGACTCACCAACAGGAGTTGGCCAAGGATATAGTGATGCCATGTTCCAACTATAGAGCTTGACAGAAGAACATAAATAAGTATTGACAATATCATAGAATGAACAGTCATTTGAGATGTTGTCTCTAAGTGCAGGCACGCACACCATGCCTCCACAGGCACCTACTCTATCTGTTTCATTTTTTGCACCATTCTCAGCCATCTACACGAGAGACTGCAGGCATCTTAGATCCCTTCCTAAGTTCCCCTGCTTCTCTCCCTGTCCACTTTCAAGATTAGCATTGCTTACTTGTGTCCCCTCTTTTCCATTCCTATCGCCCCAGTTTGTGCCTAAGACTTTCTCAGTTGAACTACTGCAATAGCAGCCTAGCTAGTCTCCCCATCTCTCTAATCTAATACTCATACTGCAAGTTATTTGATTCTGATATTATGCACTGAGGCTATATTTCATACATTGTTTTAGGTAGGTCACCTTTATCATTTATTTAATTCTTCCAGCAACATTTTGAGCATAGGAATGGTAATAGCTCATATTTCAAATGCAGAAGAAAGTTCGGAGAGGTTAAATGGCTAGCTCTGGGTCTCCCAGCTAAATAGTAGCAAGGCTAAGTCTCATGATTTTGCACCACCTCATACCTTGCTTTCATACGTCTTCCTAAAACACAAACTCCTTTGCAAAATGTAATTTTTATTTACTTTTTTGTTTTATTTTATTTTTAATTGACACAAAGTAATTGTACATATTTATGAGATACAGTGTTATGTTTCTATACATGTATACGTTGTGTAATGATCAAATTAGGGTAAATAGCTTATCCATCACCTTACACATTTATCGTTTGTTTGTGGTAAGAACATTCAAAACTCTCTCGTCTAGTTACTTTGAAATATGCAATACAATATTATTAACTATAGTGACCCTATTGTGCAATAGAACACCAGAACTTACTCCTCCTTTTTCTCTTTAATTTTGTACTTGTGACCAATCTCCTCATTCAACCCCACCCTTTCCAGCCTCTGGCATGCAGTCCTATAAGATCGGCTTTAAAAAAATTCCACAAATGAATGAAATCATGCAGTATTTGTCTTCCTGTGCCTGGCTTATTTCAGTTAAAATAATGTCTTCAAATTTATCCATGCTGTCACAAATGGCAGGATTTTCTTCTTTTGAATGACTGAATAATATTCCATTATGTATCTATACCACATTTTCTTCATCCATTCATTTGTTGATGGACGCTTATGTTGACTTCATATCTTGGCTATTGTGAATAGTGCCACAATAAACATGAGAGTGCAGATATCTCTTCAAAATACTAATTTCATTTTCTTTTGATAAATACTCAATAGTTGTATTGCTGGATTATATTGTAGTTCTATTTTTAGTTTTACTGTTTTTTACATAATGCCTTTAATCATTTACCTTCCCAATAACAATGTATAAGAACTCCCATTTCCCCACTTCAACACTAGCATTTGTTATTTTTTTTCCTTCTGATAATATCCATTCTGAGATGTGTGTGATGATATCTCAATGTGGTTGTGATTCACACTTCCCTGATGATTAATAATGTTGAACACTTTCTCATATATCTATTGGCCATTTGTATGTCTTCTTCAGAGAATTGTCTCTCCATGTCATTTGCCCATTTTAAAATCAGATTATTATTATTATTGTTTGTTGACTATTGAGTTGGTCGAGTACTTTAATATTCTGGATATTAATTCTTTGTCAAATGCTTAGTTTGCAAATATTTTCTCCCATTCTGTAGATTGTCTTTTCATTCTGTTGATTGTTTCTTTTGCTGTGCAGAAGAATTTTAGGCTTTTTAGTTTAATGTAATCCCATTTGTCTACTTCTGTGTCTGTTGACTGTACTTTTGAGTTCTTTATTTAAAAAATCCTTGAACAAATGAATCCTTGACAAATGTCTTGAAGCATTTCCTTTAGGTTTCCTTCTAGTAGTTTCATAGTTTCAGGAGTCAGATTTAACTATTTAATTCATTTCGAGTTGATTTTTGTGTATGGTGAAAGATAGGGGTCTAGTTTCCCTCCTCGGCATGTAGATATCCAGTTTCCCTAGCACCATTTATTGAAATGACTGTCTGTTTCCCAATGTGTGTTTTTGGTGCCGTTGTTGAAAATCAGTTTGCTATAAGTTTATGAATGTATTCCCTTGTTCTCTAATAATATTATTTAAAAATAATATTATTGTAAAAATAATATAGGAATAATATTTTTACATATATCAACATATATAATGTATAAATCAATTATGCAATAAATTATATATTATATATAAATATAAGTACATATATGTACATACATAATATAGAAATAAATATAGATATAAATATGTATATATAAATATGTAAATATACATACATATAAACACACATATATACACACATACATTTTTTAACTCAGTTCATTGAGCAGCCCTGGGAACAGTTACACCATGGTAGCAGTAAGGACATCTAGCATCCAAATCTTGGTTTATAGACACAGTAGTCCCTCCTTATCCACGGTTTATCTTTCTGAGGTTTCATTTACCCATAAAATATTTTAAGAGAGATAGAGAGGGAGAGAGAGACCACATTCACATAATTAGTTGTTGTTAATCTCTTACTGTGCTTTATTTATAAATTAATCTTAATTATAGGTATGAATGTATAAGAAATACATAGTATATATAAGGTTTGGTACTATTTGTGATTTCAGGAATCCACTGGGGATATTGGAACATATCCTCCGTGGATAAGGGCGAGCTACTGTACCACTCACTGTCCAATAAAAGGAGCCAGAGCCATTGTGAGAAATGATTGCATCTCGAATTGGGGCCAGAAAATAACGAGATGAACCTGGAGCCTTCTTATGGTTCCCAAAATAAGAGAAAGTAATAAAAGAATGCCCAAAGAATTATCAGTGTAATGGCTAGTTTTCTCTGGCAATTTGAGTGGACCATGGAGTACCCAGATATTTGGTTCATCATTATTCTGGATGTATATATGTGTTTCTGGGTGTGATTAACATTTGAATTTGTAGACTGAGTAAAGCAGATCACCCTACACAATATGAGTGAGCCTCATCCAATCCATTAGTGGCCTGAATACAATAAAAGGAAGAATAAGGGAGAATTTGCTTTCTCTGCCTTTCTACTGGCTCTCCAGCCTGCAGAGGGAGGTCATAGGACTTCTCATCATTCATAATCATGTGAGCCAATTAATAAGCTCTCTCTCTCTCTCTTCTCTCTCTCTCTCTCTCTCTCTCTATATATATATATATATATATATATACATCCTGTTGCTTCTATTTCTTCTGAAGAACCTTAACTGATGTAATGAATAAAGATATTTCAAAAGGATGCAAATGTCAGCTTGATGAGGTTCACATTGGCTAAATCCAGGACAATTTGAGCATCTATATATATAATGGTGGTAACGTATTAAAGTCCACTAAACATAGTAATGAATCTTTTCAGTTTTAAATAAATGAATAAATAGGTGAAAGACAAGGCCCTTTCTTATAATAGATGATTAACTAGTATGTGTAAAAGAAATGATCAGGTTATAAAGTAATCATTTGTCAACCATCATAAAATTAATTCAGGTTAGAAGCATCAACAGATGCTAAAACTATCAGGAGAAAATGGGATGATGGATGGGATTTTACATAGTTTAATAGTATCTTCCCCTCCACCCCCAACATAGACTTACACCTTATGAAGAAGAAAACAAACTTACTCCACACTAGAAGAACAGGGTAGACACCAAGTTAATCAAGTGACCAAAATTTTACAGTGCCTTAGGCTGATGAATCAAATCTGATAGGGTGAAACGAGAACATACCATTACTGTTGATGGTCCAATAGAAAATGCATAGCTTAGATCTAATCATTGGGAAACTTTAGAAAAACTCATAATGAAAGACATTCTACCAATTGATTTATCTGTAATCTTTAGAAAATCAAGGACATGGAAATCAAGGAAAGACTGAGGCATTATTCCAGATTAAAAGAGATTGGAAGGATATACCAATAGGATGTACCTGTGGTTTTGGATTGGATTCTTTTACCATCACAGGTATTATTGAGACGGTTGATGAAACTTGAATGGGGTCTCTGGAAGAAGCATACACAGGAGTTCTTTGCAACATTTTTGCCACTTTTATGCAGGTTTGACATTGCTGAAAATGCTAAGTTTTTTAAGGCACTAAAGTAATAGAATAAGTCCATATACGAAACTGCTTAAGTTTGATTTAGATTCAAGTATCACTTTTGAACTCCTACTCTGTGCAAGCCATTATGCTAGTTATAATGATGACTAACATGTAATGATGGATAATGTTCTAGAAATATTTAGCCAAGGGCTACTGTGTGCCACACCAGAGTGATCATAGGGCTAAATTGGTTTGTTTCTCTCAGAACACTCATTTTACTGCTGCCTGATATTCAATATCTGAAAGCAGCTGTTCTATTTGTTTTGTCCAATTTACTCATTTACTGTGTGAAAGCAAGTACTCTACCACTTACTCCATCATGGCCACAAACAGATATCCTGTATGATTTTATTTTCTACAAATATTTTGGGGAAATATTTGACAATTTCTCTTAAAGTTAAAAATACACTTAGCATATTATGCAGTCATTCCACTTCTAGACATTTACCCTAGAGAAATTAAGGCATATGGCTATGCTAAGATTTATGCAGCAGCTTTGTTTTAATATCCCAAAACTAAAAATAGTCCAACTGTCTAATGAGAGGTGAATGCATAAAGAAATTGTGGCATATCCATAAAACAGAACAAAAAGTGATGATGTACAGATACCCACACTAACCATATCTCAAAAATATTTTCCTGGGTGAGAGAAGCCAGACATAAAAGAGTATATGTGAAATTTACATGAAATTAAGAACAGGTAAAACAAACCCATAATGACAGAAAGCAGGTGAGTAGTCCAAAGAGGGAGGAGAGAACTTTTTGAGATAATGCGAATATTTCATATCTTGATTGTGATGGTGATTATATGAATAGTACACATTTGTCAAAATGCATTGAATTGGTCACCTAAAATAAGTATATTGTATTTTATATAAATTATACCCCAATGAATCTTATTTAAAAAGAAAAACAAATAGCTGGGTAGACATCCCAATAAGAACAAATAAAATCACCCACATAGGCAACTGTGAATTTAGAATTTCAGATTCAACTATCATTTGTTTAGCTCTTACTACACTCAAGGCATTATAACCACAATAATGACCGACACTTACTGACCATTTACTGTGTGCAAGTATTGTGCTAAATGCTTTCCATGAATTTATTCTTTAAACAAATATTTATTGAAGGGTTACTATGTGTAAGGCCTTGTTCTAGGTAGTGGGAATACAAAAGCCTCCTGCTTTAACAAAGCTTATGACATAATGGTGAAAGACAACTTGTCAATGAAAAGGAAAGCTGGGTAAATTTTAATCTGAACTCCCAGCTTAGGGCATTCTTATAGTTAAAACATGTTCGTGCATCTGTAGGCACACACACTAGCAAACATACCCATTCATATATAAACACGTGCCATTCTGGGCTGGCTGCCTTTCTTGTACACACACTCCACAGTTGTTGGCCCAAGACATTCCTGGTTACCCCTACACATCTACATATGTATTTGGCCATGTCCTCTCCATCACTAGCACATACTCAGAAGTTTCAGGCACGTATACCTTGTACACATCTACTACGCATACCTCTTTCACTTAATTATTTTTTTCTCCTTCCCCGCAAAATTGTTTTGCTGCACAGAGCCAAAACCTGTAGGCATTGTGTAGGGCAGAAATAGCCTGAATATCATGACAATTGGGAAAACTCTCCATTTAATTTCACCCATTAAATTTTTATGGGTTGTCCGCTGTGATAGGCCCTGGAATTCAGAGATGAATGAGATTGAATTCTTGTCTTGAATGAGCCCATCAAGCAGTGAGTACTTGATGGTGAACATCACAACTATTACCAGCCTGTTGCCCGCCAGGCTTTTTGCCATCTTTAGAGAAACACTGTTGGACCTTCTGGTGTTCAGATTGTAATTCTCCTGTGTAGAGTATACTGTTGTTGTGAAGTAGTGTTAGTTCCATTTGCCACCAGCGTGTCCAAGCTGGAGGCACCTCCTGAGATCATCTAGGCCAATGCTGCTCAGTATGTGTCCATGGACTGGTCTTGGACTGTTGTCTGTACACAATGTACGAAGTGCAGAGTAAGAGAGTAAGCACTTTGGAAGTTCTAAAGCAATTTGGCATTGCAGTGACATCCAAGGTTGTGATTTTGTGTTTTGCAAAAGTATTGGTCTTGATGTATTGAGTTTAAAAAGTCTTTGCTATAGGTAGTTTAAGAAGCATGACTGCCTCATGTCACACTTACGGGAACTAAAATTCAGAGTAAAATATGACTTGCCCAAGGGCTCCTGACTCTCTGTTCAGGCCTGTTGCCTATCATGCTCCAAAATTTATTTTTGAACTCATCAGAGGCAGAATATCCTACTGATACCCAAAAATGTTAATCATGGCTACCATTCGAAGATTACTGCCTATGTGTCAGGCATTGGATGAGGCAGTACTCACACATTATTGCTAATCCTTACAACATATTGGATGCACTGTTATCACCATTTTGCAAATGAGGAAATTGAAGCTCTAAAAGGTAAGTCAGCTTGTCCCAATGTCACCCAGGAAGTAAGTGGTAGAAATGGGATTCAATCATAGGTCTGTTTAGATTTGAGCTTTTATCCACTATATTATGTATGTATTACCTTAGTGAATCCTCAAAATATTCCATACCATAGAGATTATTATTAATTCCGTTTGACAGTTGGAGAAATGAAAGCTCAAATAGATTAAATGACTTTCCTAAGACCATATAGTTAGCAAGTGATAAAGCTGGATTTAATTTGTCTGTTGGCTCTAAAGCTGACAGACTTTCCCAATATGCTGCACTGGTTTAAATTTTTCAAGTGAGAAATGTGAGTCAGATAGTAGAATATTGTTCTCTCGGTATTGTAGCATATTGGTTTCATGGGAAAGGTCACAAGGCTTGGGGAGGGCGGAAGTCTAATCTGGGACTTATGCCAAGGCCTGAGTCCCATCTTGTTGGCACATACTTAGATTGAGTATATATCAGTGTGTCACCAGTGTGGGCTGTAGCTCATGTTGACTGCTTAACTCTTTTTCTGTAGCCAAGTCTCCATGAAATGCTCTAGGATTCTTCTGGACTCTCTGTCCAGGCAGATGCAGTGATCATCTCTTTGCCTGGAATTATCTGTTCCACCTCCTCACTTAGCTAATGCCTATTTATAATTCAAATATCAGTTTCAATTGTATTTCCTTAACCTTCAGACACCCTCAAAGAAGTCAAATATCCTTAGTATGCACCTTCATAGCATACTAACATTTTATTCAGCATTCCACATAATTGTAAAGAATTTATTATATAACTTCTGTTGTCCCTTCCTCATAGTAGAATGTAAGCTTTGAGAGAGCAGGTGCTCTGTCTTTCTCACTCTTGCGTCTCCAATTCCTAGCACCTTGCCAAGGATGCAAGACTCATTCCTTTTGTTTTTGAAATAAAAGAACGGAATCATGGATGAAAATGTTGAATTCTTATGCAACCATGCCTGTCATTTTCTCTGTATTGAATTACACCAGGATTTCCTAAACTTTCCTGATCATAGTAATCACCTGCACTTATTGCTAAAAATATAAATTATCAGGCAGAGAAGCCTGGAGGTGGTTTAGACATCTCTATTTTTTTTTCTCCCCAGCACATTAGTTGATTTTCATGACCATGTAAACTTGGAAAACACAGATATTAAATTTCTGTGTCTTTTTTCGAGTATCAGTTGTCAATCGGATCTGTAGCTTGGTTAATTCTGTTCTTGAACCTAGTACTGAATTATTAAGTATCTAAATGTCTTATATTGGAGAGGATGCTATGTACAATGTTGTACTTGCCGTTCTGGTCACAGCACCGATTCCCCCAACCTGCTCAGTTGTCTGCCATGGATCACCACTGATGGCAGAATGAATGAAATACAAAGCCATTATTCTGGCATTGAGACACTTCTTGGATCTGACCCAATACTCCTTTCCTATTTCCCCTGTTCACATTCTCTCTGCTTCATGTGCATAAAACCACTTACTACTGTTCCCCACGAAACCTCACAGTCCAAATCTTTTGATTTCAGTTGTGGTATTTCCGTAGGTTAAAATGTCTTTTTCCCATTTCTGTATCTTCAAATATTACTTGATATTTTTTATTTTTGTAAATGAGTTTTTATTTTCAGTTTTTATGGGTACATAGTAGTTGTATATATTTATGGTGTACATGACTTGTTTTGATACAGGCATGCAATATGAAATAAGCACATCATGGAGAATGGGGTATCCATCCCCTCAAGCATTTATCCTTTGAGTTACAAACAATCCAATTAGAATTTTAAGCTATTTTAAAATGTACAGTTAAGTTGTTATTAACTATCGTCACCCTAGTTGTGTTATCAAATAGTAGGTCTTATTCATACTTTCTATTTTTTTTGTATCTATCAACTATTCCCACCTCCTCCCCCCGCCACTAACCTTCCCAGCCTCTAGTATCCGTCCTTTTACTCTCTATATCTATGACTTCAATTGTTTTGATTTTTCAATCCCAAAATGCCATGTTTGTCTTTCTGTGCCTGGCTTATTTCACTTAAGATAATGACCTCCACTTCCATCCATGTTGTTGCAAATGACTGGATCTCATCCTTATTTATAGCTGAATAGTACTCCATTGTGTATAAGTACCACATATTCTTTATTCATTCATCTGTTGATGGACAGTTAGGTTGCTTCCAAATCTTACCTATTGTAAACAGTGCTGCAGCAAAGAGGAGGGCAGACATCTCTTTGATATACTGCTTTCCTTTCTTTTGGATATGTACTCGGCAGTGGGATTGCTAGATCATGTGGTAGATCAATTGTTAGTTTTTTGGATGAATCTCCAAATTGTACTCTATATGGTGTACAAGTTAAGTTTACATTTTCACCAACAGTGTGCAGGGGTTCCCTTTTCTCTACATCCTCTCCAGCATTTGTTATTGCCTGTCTTTTGAATATAAGCCACTTTAACTAGGGTGAAATAATATCTCATTTTAGTTTTGATTTGATTTTTTCTGATGATCAATAATGTTGAGCACTTTTGCATATGCCTATTTGCCAATTGTATGTCTTATTTTGGGAAATGTCTGTTCATTTATTTTGCCTGTGTTTTTGGTTCTTCCTTTTTTAATTTTTAAATTTTATGTAGTTGGTATATATAATCTTTTACCCATTTTTGATTGGATTATTAGATTTTTTTTCCTATAGAGTTTTTGACCTCTTTATATATTCTTATTATTAATCCCTTGTCAGATGGATGGTTTTCAAATATTTTCTCCCATTCTGTGAGTTGTCTTCACTTTGTTGAATGCATCCTTTGCTGTGCAGGACCTTTTTAACTTGAGGGGATGCCATTTTTCCATTTTGCTTTGGTTGCCTGCACTTATAGGGTATTGCTCAATAACTTTTTGCCCAGAGCGAAGTCCTGGAGATTTTCCCCAATATTTTGTTGTACTAGTTTCATAGTTTGAGGTCTTAGATTTAAGTCTTTATTCCATTTTGATTTTATTTTTGTATATGGAGAGAGATAGGGGTCTAGTTTCATTCTTCTGCATATGGAAATACAGTTTTTCCAGCACCACTTACTGTAAAGACTTTCTTTTCCCCAGTGTATGTTCACTGTAGGTGTATTTCTTCCTGGGTTATCTCTTCTGTTCCATTAGTCAATATGTCTGTTGTTATGCCAGGACTGATATAGTTTGGCTCCGTGTCACCACCCATACCTCACCTTGAATTGTAATAATCATCCCCACGTCAAGAGTAGGACCAGGTGAAGATAACTGAATGATGGGGGCAGTTTTCTTCATGCTTTTCTCATGATAGTTAGTGAGTCCTCACAAGATCTGACGGTTTTATAAGGGACTTCTCCCTTCGCTTGGCACTCACTCTGTGCTGGCGCCCTGTGAAGAGGTTCCTTCCACCATCATTATAAGTTTCCTGAGGCCTCCCCAGCCATGTGGAACTGTAAGCCAATTAAACCTCTTTTTTAAATAAACTAACCAGTCTCAGGTATTTCTTCATAGTAGCATGAAAATGGACTAATACAGTAAATTAGTACCGCCTAGTGGGGTGCTGCTGTAAACATACCTGAAAATGTGGAAGTGACTTTGGAACTATGTAACAGGCAGAGGTTGGAACAGTTTGGAGGGCACAGAAGACAAGAAGATGTGGGAAAGTTTGGAAATTCCTGGAGACTTGTTGAATGGCTTTGACCAAAATGCTGATAGTGATATGGACAATGAAGTCCAGGCTGAGGTGGTCACAGATGGAGATGAGGAAATTGTTGGGAACTGGAATGAAGGTGATTCTTGCTATACTTTAGGAAAGATACTGGTGGCATTTTCCCCTACCCTAGAGATCTGTGGAACTTTGAACTTGAGAGAAAACATTTAGCATATCTGGTGGATGAAATTTCTAAGCAGCAAAGTGTTCAAGGGGAAGCAGAGCATAAAAGTTTGAAAAATTTGCAGTCTGACAATGCAGTAGAAAAGAAAAACCCATTTTCTACAGAGAAATTCAAGCCTGCTGCAGAAATTTTCATAAGTAATGAGGAGCCGAATGTTAGTCATCAAGACAGTGGGGAAAATGTCTCCAGGACATGTCAGAGACCTTCATGGCAGCTCCTCCCATTACAGACCAGGAGGCCTAGGAGGGATAAATGATTTCCTGGTCCAGGCCCAGGTACCCCTGCTCTATGCAGCCTCGGGACATGGTACCCTGTGTCCCAGCTGCTTTAGTTCCAGCCATGGCTAAAAGGGGCCAAGGCACAGCCTGGGCCATTGCTTCAGCGGGTGCAAGTCCCAAGCTTTGGTGGCTTACATGTGGTGTTGGGTCTGCAGGTTCACAGAGGTCAAGAATTGAGGTTTAGAAACCTCCACCTAAATTTCAGAGGATGGATGGAAACACCTGTATGTCCAGGCAGAAGTTTGCTTCAGGAGCAGAGCCCTCATGGAGAACCTCTGCTAGGGCAGTGTGAAAGGGAAATGTGGGGTGTGAGCCCTCACACGGAGTCCCCACTGAGGCAGTACCTAGTTGAGCTGTGAGAAGAGGGCCACCATCCTCCAGACCCCAGAATGGCAGATCCATTGACAGCCTGCACTGTGCACCTGGAAAAGCTGCAGGCACTCAACACCAGCTGGTGAAAGCAGCCAGGAGGGTGCCATACCCTGCAAAGCCACAGGGGCAGAGCTGCCCACATCCATGGGACCCCACCTCTTGCATCAGTGTGACCTGGCTGTGACACATGGAGTTAAAGAAGATCATTTCGAAACTTTAAAGTTTAATGACTTCCCTATTGGATTTTGGACTTGCATGGGGGCCTGTAGCCCTTTGTTTCAGCCAATTTCTCCCATTTGTATAGGATGTATTTACTCAATGCTTGTACTCCCATTGTATCTAGGAAGTAACAAACTTGCTTTTGATTTTACATGCTCATAGGCAGAAGGGACTTGCCTTGTCTTGCATAAGACTTCTATGCTCATGACAGTGAGTTCTCACGAGATCTGATGGTTTTATAAGGGGCTTTTCCCTTTGCTTGGCACTCACTCTCTCTCCTGCCTCCCTGTGAAGAGGTGCCTTCTGCCATGATTGTAAGCTTCCTGAGGCCTCCCCCAGCAATGCAGAACTGTGAGACAATTAAAACTCGTTTCTTTATAAATTACCTAGTTGTGGGTATTTCTTCATAGCAGCATGAGAATAGACTAATACAAGTGCCATGCTGTTTAGGTTACTAAAGCTCAGTCTGTAGTATAATTTCAAGTCAGGTAATGTGATTCCTCCAGTATTGTTCTTTTTGCTTACAATGTGTTTGGCTATTCTTGGTCCTTTGTAGTTCCATATAAATTTAAATTTTTTTTCTATATCTGTGAAAAGTGTCGTTGGTATTTCGATACAAATTACATTGAATCTGTAGATTACTTTGGATAGTATGGACATTTTAACAATATTGATTCTTCTGATCCATGAACATAGAATATTTGTCCATTTTTTGGTGTCCTCTTCAGTTTTCTTCGTCGGTATTGTATACTTTTCATTATAGAGATCGTTCATGTCTTTGGTTAAGTTAATTCTTAGGTGTTTATTATTATGTGTGGTTATTGTAAGTGGATTACTTTTTATTTCTTTTTCAGATTTTTCACTGCTGGCATATACAAATGCTACTGATTTTTGTATGTTGATTTTTTATCCTGCAACTTTACTGTATTTATCAGTTCTAATAGTTCTCTTGTGGAGTCTAGGTTTTTCCACATGTAAGATCATATCATCTGCAAAAAAGGATAATTTAACTTCTTTCTTTCCAATTTAGATGACCTTTATATCTTCTTTGTTGTGTCCCAGATCTTAGAGGAAGGCTTCAGTTTTTCCTTGTTCAGTGTGATACTACTAGCTGTGGGTCTGTCATGTGTGGCTTTTATTATGTTGAGGTATGTTCCTTCTATCCCCAGTTTTTTGAGGGCTTTTATTATGAAGGAGTGTTACATTTTTTCAACTGCTTTTTCAGCATCAATTGAAATAATTATGTGGTGTTTTATCCTTCATTCTATTGTTAATGACTTTGGGAGTCTTCCCTTCTCCTCTATTTTTTGGAATAGTTTGAGTAGGATTAGTATTAGCTCTTTAAATGTTTCATAGAATTCAGCAGTGAAGCCATCAGGTTCTGGGTTTTTTCTTTTTTTCTGGAAGACTTGTAACCCATTATTTCACCTGATAACAATTTAAGACTATTTGCCTAAACAAACAAGCAAAAAGGGAATAAATAAAACTTTTATGCCTTAACTTTGTTCCCCTGCTTTTTAACTTTTTGGTTTTTTTTTTTATTTATCTGTTATTTTACTATGTACTGAAAAGTTGTTACAGTTCTTATTTTTGATTGAGTCACCATTTGGTCTTTCTACATAGAATAAAAGTAGTTTACACACCACTGTCATGGTGTTAAAATATTTTGTGTTTTTCTGTGTACTTACTATTACCAGTGAGTTTTGTATTTTCAGGTGATTACTTATTGCTCACTGACGTCCTTTTTGTTTTGATTGAAGTACTGCTTTTAGCATTTCTTTTAAGATAGGTCTAGTACTGATGAAATCCAATAGCTTTTGTTTATCTGAGAAAGTCATTATTTCTCCTACATGTTTGAAGGATAATTTAGCTGGATATAATATTCTAGTGTAAAAGTTTTTTCCTTCTGCACTTTAAATATGTCATGTCACTTTCTCCTGGCCTGTAAGGTTTACCTTGAAAACTTTGCTGCCAGACATATTGGAGCTCCATTGTATGTTATTTGTTTCTTATTTTCTCACTGCTTTCAGGATCCATTTCTTATCCTTGACCTTTGGGAGTTTGATTATTAAATGCCTTCAGGTAGTCTTCTTTGAGGTTAAATCTACTTGGTTTTCTATAACCTTCCTGTACTTGGATATTGATATCTTTTTCTAGTTTGGGGAAGTTCTCTGTTACTATCCCTTTGAATAAGCTATCTACCCCTGTATTTTTCTCTACTCTCTCTTTAAGGCCAGTAAGTCTCAGATTTGCCCTTCTGAAGTTATTTTCTAGACCATGTAGGCATGTTTCATTGTTTCTTATTCTGTTGTCTCCTCTGACTGTGCATTTTCAAATAGCCTGAAAGAAATATACAGATTGTCATTCTCTCTGTTCTAAGCCACCTAAAGCTGGGGGTGGGGTGACACATGTATACCCCCGTGGCCACCAGCACTATGACTATTCTGGGACAGACCTGAAGTCAGCACAGTGCTGGGTCTTGCCCAAGGCCTGCTGTAACCACTCCCTGGCTACTGCCTATGTTTTCTCAAGGCCCTGGGGCTGTAAAATCAGCAAGTGACAAAGCCAGCTAGGCCTATTTTCTTCACTTCAGGGCAGCGATTTCCCCCAGTACCCAGGCTGTTCCAGAAGTGCTGTCCAAGAGACAGGGTCTAGCATCAAAAACCTTAGACATCTACCTGGTGTTTTATTGTACTGCGATTGAGCTGGCACTCAAACCACAGAGCACAGATGTTCACACTCTTTCGTCCCCTTTCCAAAGGCAGAAGAGCCTCACCCCACAGCCACCACTACCCCAGTCCATGAGAAGTACTGCCAGACTACCCCCGATCTTCCCTTAAGGTCCAAGACCTCTCAAATCATCTTGTGGTGAATGCTGCCTGGCCTGGGACTCAAGTTTCAGGGCAGTGGGCTCCCCTCTGGCCCAGGGCGGGTCCAAAAGTGCTGTCCACAAGTCAACTCCTGGAATTACAGACCCCAAGAGCCTGCTTGGTGCTCTACCTCACTGTGGCCATGCTGATACCTGAAGCCAGCGACTCTCAGAGGCTCACCCAAGCCCCTCAATATGGTGCCTGGGTATCACTGTTGGTTATTCAGGGCCCAAGTCCTCTTCAGTTAGCAGGTGATGGATGCTGCCAGGGCTGGGTCCTTTCCTTCAAGGCAGCGGGTTGCCTTCTGGCCCAAGGTGTGTCTAATAGTGTCATCTGGGAGCTGGGGCCTGGAGTAGGGGCCTCAAAACCCTGACCAGTGACCTATTCTGCTGTGGCTGAGCTGGTATTTGAGATACAAGACAAAGTCCTCCCCACTCTTCCCTCTCCTCTTTTCAAGTGGAAGGAATGGGTCTCTTTTGGAGCCCTGAGCTGTGCAGCATGGGGCTATGGGAGGGGTGATGCCAGAATTCTGAACGTGGCTGCCCTAGTTGATGTCTCAGTATGTTGCATGCCCTACCCTCAGTCTAATGTCTCTGGGCCTAGTTCAGCACTACGACTTGCTTATGAGTTGCTGTCTCTATGGCCTAGGCTGCCTTCCATGTTTACTTGAAAACACAGAGTTCTATAGCCCTAGGTTGTGAGGTTTGCAGGCACTCAAGGTCTGACCACTGGGATAGATTTCACTCTGGTTAGGGTGGATATAAATGCTCCTTCAGTGGGTGGGCATCAGCTGAGTTTGGTTTGGGTTTCCTTTCTTCTCTAACAGGACAGCACTGAGTTCAATGTCTCACAATTACTGCGTTCTCCCTCCCCCAAGTCCCAGAGATGCTCTCTGTACCATGCTGCCACTGCTGCTGGGGGATGGCATCAGCGATTCCAGACTGTTTTTCTCTATCTCTTCAGTGCCTCCTTCAGCCATATGAAGTAAAACCAGGGACTATAAGTGCTTTTCTGATTTTTGGTTCTTATGAACGTGTTTCTTTCTGTGCAGATGGTTGTTAACTTGATGTCCTTGCTTGGCGGGGGGTGTGGGGAACCTATCAATGGAGCTTTCTATTCTACTATCTTGCTCCACCTTCTGAGACCTATTTTTCCAAGTAACACTTTTTAGATCCAGCTTAACATCCCTTTCTCTACACAGGCTTCTGTGGCTTTCCCTTCTTCTGACCTTTTCTCTCATTGTCTATTGGTTTTGAACTCTTTTTTTTTTTGTAATGGAGTTTCACTCTTGTTGCCCAGGCTAGAGTGTAATGGCGCCATCTTGGCTGACTGCAACCTCCACCTCCTGGGTTCAAATGATTCTCCTGCCTCAGCTTCCCCAGTAGCTAGGATTAAAGGTGCGTGCCACCACGCCTGGCTAGTTTTTGTATTTTTAGTAGAGACGGGGTTTTGCCATGTTGACCAGGCTGGTCTCCTGACCTCAGGTGATCCACCCGCCTCGGCCTCCCAAAGTGCTGGGATTACAGGCGTGAGCCACTGCGCCCGGCCTAAACTCTTATCTTATTCAACTTTGTATCATAGTTTTTATGTCTCTATTTTATCACTCCTTTTAGGCTCTGAGGCACTTGAAGGCTAGATCCGTACTTATTTCCAAGTAACTTTGGTCTCCTGCCCCTAGTAGGAACCAGGTGTTAGTTTACAATACTTCCTCTCCAGATCTCCAGCACCATTAGGAAAATAGACACCATGAGATAGAGATTTTCTCAACAATTTGACTCCCGCCACCTCCAATCCTATCCAGGGCTTCATCATCTTTTCCTTTTGTCTAGAAGAACAGGCATGCCTACTACTTTCTAAAATTAGCCCCTCAAAAAAACTGTGTGAACATATTGATGAATGAATGAATGAATGAATTCATCAGGATAGCCTCAGTCATTCTATGGTAAAAATGAAAACAAATCTCAGTGGCTTAACACATCAAAAGGTTGTTTTTCACTCATGCTGCACACAAAATGTGGCTGAGCAGGGGCTTCTACTTCACCTGGCCACTCCAGGCTCCAGGGTGATGGAGACTTCATCTCAATATGTGCTTCCCAGGTCACTGTGGCAAGGGGAGGAGAACATGGTCAGTTACGCCCTGTTCTGAAAGCTTCCACCTGGAAGTGACACACCCACACATATTACTTCCATTATGCCTCAGTTCCACTTATATTTCATTGACCAAAGCAAATCACATGGCCATGCCTAATTTAAAAGGAAGCAAGGAAGTATAATCTGTCATTTACCTGAAAGGAGACAAGAGCTGGGATATTTATCAACATCACTAATGATTACCAAAATACATGTATACAATATATTTCAAAGAGACTTTTCTAGCATAACTTGTAGTTATCTTCCCTAATTCTCTCCTGATTCAAGGTTACGCATTCTTTTTCTTTCCTTGGCTCATTGAGATGATGCATACATTTGAAAAAAGAAAAATGAAATCAACTGTGGCACTGTGTGGATGCAAGAAAGTTTGTTACAGATTGGCTCTTGTTTTGGTATAGAGTCCAGATAGTTTCTCAGATTTAAGACACTGAGAGAGTAGGAGCAAGAAAAGTTTGGGAAGTGTCAGACTCAGTTACTTTAGAGGACACTTAATTACACTTAATAATTTGCAATTTAGTGCCTGATGTTGCATACAGATAACATCTGCTTCCCTATACAAGATATATCAGAAACGATACCTTCAACGATGCTTTTTGGAAGGAGATTTTAAAGAGCATCCGGGTGGCTAATAAGTAACCCTTTTGTTGTGGCAAACATTTAGGTTCAGTCCCTGACTCCATTCTGACTTGATGTTCCATGTTTGACAATGTCACTTAACCTTTTCCACATCATTTGTCTGTCTGCAAGAAGGAAATAAAGCTCTCCGTGATTTCAAAGCTCTTTGGGATTTCGAAAGAAAAGCCTAGGTGGTAAGTACAACATCGGAAAAGAGAGCCTTTGTGGGTGGTAAGCTTCAGCTGATGTATATTAGCAGGATCTTAAAAATGTATGCCTTTTGAAAGTGTACATGAGATGGAAGAAAAAGCACCTTTTTGGAATCAGAAAGATGTCACTTTTTAGAGGATTCAGCAACTTTTAAAATGTCCTGTAACTTAGTATGCATTTTTTTGCATTTAAAACTAGTTTATTTTTATTTTAAACATTTAATAGCACATATTTAAGGCATACAACATGATGTTTCAACACGCAATAAGCGAGACAGAAAAAACATACTTTGCGATCTCACTTATATGTGGAATCTTAAACGAGAAGTTTCTTTATCACATAAAGAAAAAAAATCAGTGAATCAGTGTTTTAACCCAGAATTTGACATAGTGTGTGTATCTATGTCAAACATTCTGGGTTGAAACATTCTACTTTAATAACTTTCAGTTATAATAATAACATACAGAGACATTGAGTTTCTCACCTCTTTTAGAGTTAATCATGGTTAGCTATATTGTTCTCTGAGTGAATACAACACTTGGCTCCCAAAATGGATATTAACATCTCCCAGAGTTACATATATTTTAATAGAGGTAACTTACCATGCCTTTGTCTTTTAATGATTCAGAATTGGGACTCAAATAGTCTCTACTGTGCTATTCATAATTAATGTGTAATCGTAGGTTTAAAGTTAAAATTATGAATGTGTGAACTATTGTGATGTCACAAATTACGGTTCTGCATATTGAATCATCACCCGTATTAAATATGAATAAAATGTAGACAGAGAGACACATCCACATGATAAATTTGGCAGAAAAGCAGAGAATACTGATAAAACAACCACCATGAGGATGGGGAAGTTTTCTCTTAGAGTGTGAGTTTAAAATGCAATTTTAAATAGTTGACTGAGAAAAGTTTAAGTGGCAAAGTGGAGAAGCACTTGTATTCAGTGTCTTCATCTGGCAAACTGGAATAACTAACTGCTATCCAGAAAGATCAGATTTTTTTCCCACGGTCTCATAATTATTACAGGCAGAAGCAGAATTAGAACTCAGGCCACCATGCTGTCTCCTGAGTTCAGTTTCATTTTCAAAACAGGATTGCCAAATTGTAAACTACAATACCACATTCCCACAGAAGGGCTGTAAAACCTGGTACTTTTGGCTGTTTTGGGGACACAAAGTGCAAGATAACTGTTGTCTCTATTTTCTGTTTCCCTTTGAGAAGAGGCCAGGATGAGCATCCAGGTTTTCCAAAGGGAGCAGATATACAGTGATATGTCTGAGAGGCAATATCCCTCCAACTCCTGACACTCAACAGGAAATATAATCTGTTAGACATTGGCAGTAAGAAAAAAAAATAACAATCCATTGAGATAGGAAAGAGCTATCCCCAGTTTGTCCTTGTTTCTCCTTCCTTCATAAAGATATAAAACATAGCTGATCTACTTTATTTTTTGAGACAAGGTCTTGCCCTGTTATCCAGGCTAGAATGCAATGGTGTGATCATAGCTCGCTGCAGCCTCCAACTCCAGGGCTCAAGTGATCCTCCTGCCTTAGCCTCCCAAATAGGACTACAGGTGTATGCCACCCTGGTCAGCTAATTTTTATTTTTATTTTTTGTATAGCCAGGGCCTCCCTATGCTAGTCTCAAGTGATCCTCTTGCCTTGGCCTCCCAAATAGTTAGGACTACAAGTGTATGCCACCATGCCCAGCTAATTTATTTTTATTTTTTGTATAGGCAGGGCCTCCTTATGCTAGTCTCAAGTGATCCTCGTGCTTTGGCCTCCTAAAGCACTGAGATTATAGGTGTGAGGCCACTGTGCCCAGCCCTGATCTACATTTTTTTGAGCTCAAGCTGGGACATGATTTAAATTTAAACTGTTATCATTGCTTTGTTTGACTCAATTTCCTGTGATGGTAGGTGAAAACAATAATTATGTGAACTCATAGGCATTTCTGGTCCTCAAATATACAAGGCTTTTAGAGCTGGAATTCATTTCTCATTTCTAGCTGCATGTTCCATTGTTATTAATAGAACTCATCATTCTCTGCCATGTCACTAAGTGATAAGTGGCATTAAATAATATGAAACTTGGAATTCCAATTTATGATGTTAGCCAATACTTTTGCCTAAACAAATAAAAAATAATAAAAATCAATGATTATCTTCTGATCACACTTAAGGAATTTTAAAAGATCAAATCTAAAGAAAACAAAGAGAAATACCTTGATGTGATTTAACCAAGAGAATGAAAAGGAAAACAATGTAATAATGTTTATTAAGCATATGGACGATTCTTGGGAGGAAAAAAGGTGATGAATACAATAAAAGTTTATCAGACATATGTATTTCTTGACAGTAAGGGTTACTCAGTAGAGAAATGGCTGGACCATCTGATGTATACATTTTCTTTGTTTGTTTGGCCAACTATTTAGTATAAAGCAACTTCCTATTTGGAAAGGATTGGTGAGGGCATAAATAATAACAGATCTTTATTTAGTAAAACTCCAATGTAAAAGATCATAAGAGCATCAGTTATCAAGCTGTGTTTCTGGATTTCAGAGTAGTTTCATCTATAGAACAAAGACTCGATGACAAATATTGAAATGAGATTCTCTGAATATTGGGCTATAGAGAAGTGCAATGTGGAGGAGGATATTGGATGCTTGTTTGCTGCAAGAGCGCTCTCCTTAGCACACGTGAGGCCAGGACAAACCAAACGCAATCCATAACTCAGTTGATAAATGGAGGGTGTATTGATCCATTTTCATACTGTTATAAAGAACTGCCTGGTTATTTATAAAGGAAAGTGGTTTAACTGACTCACAGTTCAGCGTGACTGGGGAGGTGTCAGGAAACTTACAATCATGGCAGAAGGTGAAGGAGAAGGCAGGAAGGAGAAGTGCGGAGCAAAGGGGGAAGAGCCCATTATAAAACCATCAGATCTCATGAGAACTCACTCACTATCATGAGAACAGCATGGGGAAAACTGCCCCCATGATTCAATCACCTCCACCTGGTGTCTCCCTTGACACATGGGGATTATGGGGATTGCAATTCAAGATGAGATTTGGGTGGAGACACAAAGCCTAACCATATCAAAGGGGCACCGCGTCCCCATTTCTCTCTATTAGTTATAACACTCAGATATATTCATGAAGTCATGCAGACTTACAGCCTTGCATATCACTTCAGAAACATACGTCCACAGTCTTAGGAAAGGAATTAAGAAGAACTAACATTTGCTGAGGCCTTGCATCTACCTAATACTCTACTGGGATCCTTCATATACATCAGATACACACATCAACCCTAGAAGGTAGGTATTACTATGATCCCCATTTTTCTTGTGGAAAAGCTAATGTAGAGAGAGGTCGCTTAACTTTACTGAGTTAGTAAGTAGCAGAGCTGAGATCTAAATGCAAATGTGAAACCTCCAGAGCATGTGTTTTTCTCACTACACTTTGCTTCCTGTCTTACTATGTTTGCTTGAAAGGAAATATTTTTAACTAAGGGCAAAATGGCAAGCATTTAGTTGAACTACCGCTGGTGAGTTTTAAAGAGGATTTCTACATACGGTATTACAATTTTACTGAATTTCTTGGTTAGCATGTTTAATATTCAGCTCCACAGACCTGAGGTATGCTTGTGGATTAATTATTTTTATGCAGGGGTGAATATTTTTAGAATCGAACTGTTATAATAGCTAAATTCAGGCATGTCCATATGCACTCACGTGCACACACACACAGAGAACAGATTAAGGGACCTAATTTTATTGAAGGAAGCATCAATATTTATGCTTGATAAAGTATATAGATAGAAATTTTCAATTAAGAAGGCAAAATAAAATAGTAAAACTAAAACTGAATCTAAACTAGTTTGAATGTTTAAGAATCAATGGAGTTAATAATATAGTTAACTGAAGATTGGGGATAAAAATCCTCTCTGCTTCACTTGGATGGGAAAACCTCTCAGCCCCCTTTTTCTACCTTGTGGAGCTGCATATTGATGATGGCATTATTGTGCCAATCAGGTTTTGGTTTGTGTCCTTAAGGCACACATACATGTAACTTGTTCAAAGCAAATCACAATGAGAAAAGCACAATTTGGTAACATTGGTTTGACCATTCTTTCCACTGTTGATGTTTCTGTCTCTTAATGCCTTGAGTCTTTATTTTTTTCTGATTCCTGATTTTGGCTTCTGCTTAAGGTTTAGCCTTCAAAATAACCTAGAATATAAGCCTAGAATCTTTCCACAGTGCCTAGCTCCCTTTAAACTGATTGGCTCATTCCACACAAAATCCTACTATTAGTCTGTTTAAAAGCTACCACTATCCAAAGTTCATTTCTGGATAAACAACAGTCCAAAACAGGAGTCCAAGCCACTTATCCATATCTTATCTCATTACTCTTCCTTATCGTTTTTTTGTAGACCTTCTCATCTTGATTCCAGTCATTACCCACTGCTTTCTACCTTGTATTGGGGATAAGCAATCTAATACTGTATTTTGCTATAAATTGACAAATTATAACTGTATATATTTATGGGATAAAATGTGATGTCATGATATATGTATACAATGTGGAATGATTAAATCAAGTATATTAACATATTCATCACCTCAAATATTTATCTTTTTTGTGGAGAGAACATTTGAAGTTTACTCCCTTAGCAATTTTCAAGAATACATTATTGTTACCTACAGTCATCATTCTGTGCCATAAATCTCAAAAAATGTATTCCTCCTGTCTAACTGAAATGTTATACTCTTTGACCAACACCATTACCCACACCCCCAGCATCTGGTAACTACCAGTGTATTCTTTGTTTCCATAAGTTCAATTGTTTTGGATTCCACGTGTAAGTGAAATCCTACAATATTTGTTTTTCTGTGCCTGGATTATTTTACTTAGCATAATGTCCTCCAGGTTCATCAATGTTTTCAGAAATGACAAAATTTCTTCTGATTTTAAAAAGGTGAATTGTATTCCATTGTGTATATATACCACATATTCTTTGTCCATTCATCTGTTGATGGACACCTAGGTTGATTCCATACCTTGGATATAGTGAATAGTGCTGCAATAAACATGGTAGTGCAGATATTTCTTTGAAATATTGATTCCAAATCCTTTGGCTATATAACCAGGAGAGGGATTGATGGCTCATATGGTAGTTTTACTTTTTGTTTTTTGATGAACCTCCATACCATTTTCCACAATGGCTGTACTAATTTACATTCCCACCAACAGTGTACAAGAGTTCCCTTTTCTCTGCATCCTCACCAGCACTAATATTTTGTCTTTTTCTATAATAGCCATTCTGACTAATATGAGGTAATATCTCATTGTGTTTTTAATTGGCTTGTCCCAATGTTTAGTGGTGCTGAGCATTTTTTCATGTATTTGCTGGCCATTTGTATGTCTTACTTTGAGAAATGTCCATTTAAGCTCTTAGGTCATTTTTAAGTCAGTTTGTTCTCTTGCTATTGAATTGTCTGAGTTCCTTAGGTATTTTAGATATTAACTCTTTATCAGATATTAACTCTTTATCCGATATTATAATATGATAATATCAGATCACATTAACATCTGATAAAGAGTTACTATAATTTTCATTGCCTACTTCTGTAGATGTAGAGGACACAGAATAACAATTACATTTTTATTTCTCAATACATCCATGTGTAGCTTCATTTTTTCTTCCTCTTGTCTAAATAAGCAATCCAATTTGGGTTCTTGTACCTGATGATATCAAGCACTGTTTTATTTTATTTTTTCCTGTTTTTTTCAAAATTTTATATTAGGTTCAGGGGTACACATGCATGTTTATTTTATAGGTACACTGCATGTTGCAGGGGTTTGGTGTGCATATTGTTTTATCACCCAAGTAATAAGCATAGTACCCAATAGGTAGTTTTTTGATCCTCACCCTCCTCCCACCCTCTGTCCTCAAGTAGGTCCTGTTGTTTGTTGTTCCCTTCCTTGTGTCCATGTGTACTCAATGTTCAGCCCCCACTTATAAGTGAGATCACTCAGTATTTTGTTTTCTGTTCCTGTGTTAATTTGCTTTGGATAATGGCCTCCAGTTCCATCTGTGTTGATGCAAAGGACATGATCTCATTATTTTTCATAGCTGCATAGTATTCCATGGTGTACATATATGTACCTCATTTTCATCATTCAGTCTACCATTGATGGGCATTTAGGTTGAGTCCATATCTTTGCTATTGTGAATAGAAGCACTGTTTTCGAGCATAAATTTAAGTATCTGCCTGTAGCTTGACTCAAGGAAATTCTGGGCAAGAGGTACCTCATACCACGTTTAAAGCCTGTTGGACTTACCAACCTAGCTTATCTTTTGCCAAGCTCCCATCTAGGATCAATTTGGGTGCCCTGTCTGACTGCATCACTTGGATCATGGACTGTATGTACTACTTTCTTCTTAACTAAATAGATGACTTTGTGAATGTCATGCTTTGCAGGCACTCAGGGTACTCTTATTTACATAATTTTCATTGCTTACCCTATAGATATAGAAAATACAGATTAGTAATTACATTTTTGTTTCTCAATATATCCATATGAAGCTGCTTTTAAAGAATAAATACTTCATATTTATTTACTTTCTCCTAAAAGCAAAAGATTAGAAAATTCTGGGAATCCAAGGATGTGACTCAGTCAGCTACAGTAATGTGGCCAGTACTGCACGTTCCCAATGGGTTCCAATGCAGTTACTCAGATACTAGGAGAAGGATGAGGTAAAATTAGTTGAATAAACATTATACAAGAAATGTATTATAATTGGTGTTAGCATTTTCTTTTCAGGCTAAAGGAAGTACCTAAAATTTTTCTGAAGTAAGATTTTGCTTTTCTTTTTTTTTTTTTTTAATGTTAACTCTTAAATGTAAGCTGGAAACATATAGAATTGAAAACCCATTAGAAATTATTACATCCTTGGCTATTTTATTATTAATCAGTAAGAGGATTAAAAAGGTTTACCATCTATTACCTGACTAGACAACCGATGGGAAAATAAAATTGCATCCAAATGTAATGTTGAATAATTGGCATGTGTAGGCTGCTGGGGACTTTACTCACATGCTCTGTGATTATACCTTCATTATATCCCACTGAAGATATGGCTCGCTGGTGTGCTGTGATTCAAAGGATAAATCTCAGTGTAGTAGCAGTATTACACAAATAAGGTGGAATGTCACAAGTGAAATTAGGCCAATCGAACCCATATAATTCTGAGACTAGTTAAATTTGTTCATACCGGATTGCTTGGTTAGTGTAAACTATATTTACCTGTTCATCTGATTATGATTTTACCTTGTGTTTAGTCTTATCCAAATGAGTGGAAGTTAGGCTATGGACAAAAAGATACTGACCTTATTATTTTAGTGATTGCTAGCACTAGTTTTAGGGGCTTGTCCATTGACCAGGCTATAAGTTTTATCCCTGCTCCCTGATCAGAAATTGCATCCATTGGCCAGGTGTGGTGGCTCACGCCTGTAATCCCAGCACTTTGGGAGGCCGATGTGGGTGGATCACCTGAGGTCAGGAGTTGGAGACCAGCCTGGCCAACGTGGTGAAACCCCATCTGTACTAAAAATACAAAAATTAGCCAGGCATGGTGACACATGCCTGTAATAGCAGCTACTCGGGAGGCTGAGGCAGGAGAATCACTTGAACCTGAGAGGCTGAGGATGCAGTGAGCTGAGATTGCACCATTGCACTCCAGCCTGGGCAACAAGAGCGAGACACTGTCTCAATTAAAAAAAAAAATGTGTCCACTGAAGCTAATGTGGTATAGAGTATCCTCCTCTAGCTGGGCCATCCTTCCTGTTGCTCTTCACTGGCTCACTGCTACTCATCATTTTTGTTTTGTTTTGTTTTGTTTTGTTTTTTCTTTGAGACAGAGTCTCACTCTGTCACCCATGCTGGAGTGCAGTGGCGCAATCTCGGCTCACTGCAAGCTCTGCCTCCTGGGTTCACGCCATTCTCCTGCCTCAGCCTCTCGAGTAGCTGGGACTACAGGCGTCCGCCACCACGCCTGGCTAATTTTTTGTATTTTTAGTAGAGACGGGTTTTCACCATGTTAGACGGGATGGTCTCGATCTCCCGACCTTGTGATCCACCCGCCTCGGCCTCCCAAAGTGCTGGGATTACAGGCGTGAGCCACTGCGCCCAGCCACTGCTACTCATCTTTTAGGCCTAGAAAAAGCCTTTCTTTTCTGCTCTTTCCATGCTGCACCCCTCTGAGGTCCAGGTTAGATGACTCCAAAGGAATGTATGACAGCCAACAGTAGCATAGCAAGATTACCTTAGTCCCTTTCGGTCCCACAGATGTGCTCTAACTGATGGACCCAGATGTCCATAGGTGAGTCTTATCAAGAATAACGAAGCGCTCACCAACTTTTAAACCTCTTTTTATACACTCTTGTTTGTTTGGTTTTAGAAAGTGAAATGTTGCAGTTATTTATCTTAAACAATTAATATTCAATTTATAACTATTCATCTGTACATACTACATTTAAATAACTGGCTTAAACCCTTGGGCAGCTGCTCACATGAATATATGGTTCAGGTTTCCCTTTCACGTAAATCACCCTATATTGTGTTTTACACTGTATTAGTCTGTTTGCATCACTGTAAAGGAATACCTGAGGCTATGCAATTTATAAAGAAAAGTTTAATTGGCTCATGTTTCTGCAGGTTGTACAGGAAGTACAGTGCCAGCATTTGCTTCTGGTAAGGGCCTCAGGAAGCTTACAATCATGACAGCAGGTACATCATATGCTGAGAGCAGGAGCAAGAGAGAGAGAGGAGAGGTGCCACACACGTTTAAACAACGAGATCTCAAATAAATCAACTGGGTGAGAACTCACACATCACCCAGGGGAAGGTGCCAAACCATTAATTAAGGATCTACCCCCATGATCCAATCAACTTCCACCAGGCCCCACCTCCAACATAAGGAATTACATTTCAACATGAGATTTGGCGAGGATGAATATCCAAACCGTATCATACACAAAGTCACACACCCGTGTGCTTACTTGTTTATCATTTATACCCGCCTTTGTTCAGCATGTAAACTTCTTGAGGGCAGCCAAAGTGTTTCATTCGTCTCTAAGTCACTAAATGACTAAAATGAGGTTTGACATATAGTAGACGTTCAGTGTTGTGAGCTGATTGAATGCAAAATAGCTAGCATTTCTTGGATGGTTTTTGTATGTAACATCATGCTAGGCACTATCCCATGCAGTTATGAGGTACTTTCTATAATTATTCACATTTTACAGATTAGGACACCGTGAACTATAGAGTTCAAAATGTCTAAGTTCACAGAGCAAGTAGGTAGCTCAGTGGGGATATGACCTATTCATAGAATGATCTAATCTCAAAGCCCTTGACCTTAAATATTATGAACAATGCCTCTGATATTTGAATTTCTCCTTCCAAGGAAAATGGAGACCTGGGACACTATAGCAAAGATTGGGCCTGTTGCCTCAGGAATCTTGGATAGGCTATCATTTTTCCCGAGGCTACAGCGTAAGAAACCATGGAGATGCTATCAAAGAAACATTACCCTGTGGACAAATGATGATGGAGATTGGCAGATTGTCCCACTCAGCCATCAGACTGAAGGGGGTAGGCACAGGGTGACTCCAAACACAAGACCATGCCAAGGGAACTGGTGAAGAGCAAGAAGGGTCCAAACAGAGGGTTGAAGCCAGAGTATTGAGGGATCGTTGAACTAGGAAGAGTGGCCGTGGCAGGGTGTGTATTTGTAAAGATGCCAATCAGCTTAGACAGCTGAACAAGCCTCCATCCATCCAGACTCCTTTACTACAAACCATCTCTTGATCAGCCACTGAAGATACAGAGCTACATAAGCCATAGATCCTGGAGCAATGGAGAAGGAGATTCTACATATTTGCACAAACTTTGGTGCACAGTGGATGGTCACACTACCCTGCATCCATGGCTGTCTATCAATAATTGATGCTAATAGCAGATTCTCTCATTGAGTACTTAATATGAGGTAGGCACTCTTCGAAGAGCTTCTCAGGCTTTAAAATCAATCATCACAATAACTATTTGAGATTGGTATGAGTAGCATCATCATTTTCCAGATGAGGAAATGGTGGCATAGAGAAGTAAAAGGATTTGCCCAAGAACACACACGTAGTCAAGGTCAGAGCTGGGGTTGAAAACTGGGCAGTGTGACTCGAGTGTTTGAGCTCTTAATTTCCACATGCATTAACTCTCTGTCAATTATTCCCTAAGTTTCCTTTAATCCAGTGACATTTATTCATTCATCACATTTTTATTGAGAACATAGTACATACCTAGCACTTGGCTGGATGCTAGGAATGTTGCAGTGAAGAAGATAGGCAAGGCTCTAAACTGACACATGATATTAGAGAAGGTAATGACACCCCACCTGCCCCCTGCATGACCCCAACAATGTCCCTTCTCTATTGGTAAAAGCTGCACCTGCTGCCCAGTAAAAGGCGATACTGAATCAAGAGAAACTCCATCCACTTTCATGACTCAGACTAACTGATAGGACTTTGGTTCCAGTTCCTTCTGTGCTGGGATTGGCTAACATATGTATATAATGACCCATAATTCAGCCACTGTATAAAATGGGATTCATACTGGAATATTTGATCTCTGGAACCAAAACATTTAACTCGACAAGCAAGCATATTAATTGATAACCTGTGGTTTCACTATTGCCCTTGGACAAAAAAAAAAATGGCCTTTCTTGTTTAAACTAAAGATCGTCAGTCTGCACCTCCCTAAGGCAGTCTGGGTCAGAGTCAGCATAAGACTAGATGGTGCACTTTAAAATAAAAACACATGTCTACTTGAATTTGTATTTTGATACATTATTATGATAAATACTTAGCGTTGTTGAGTAGTTTCATAACATTAAAGCTGAGCTGATTAAAACATTTAGAGAACAAGGTAAATGGGTGTTCAAACTGTTCTTGCTTTCAGGTTCAATGATGAATAACTGAAAATTCAATTTTTAAGGATAACAATAGGAGGAAAGAAAACACTACCTTTTGAAAAACGGATTTCAGCTGGACCATTCTATAGTGGAATGAATACCGGCTATTATCTAAAAAAAAATGTATTTTACTTATCTCAGAGTCAGATTCTATATTGCACCTCTCTGTACTTTGACTCATCTTAATCCGCATCCTGCCTGTTTTATTCTGGTTTTAATATCAATTTTGTTTTATTGGCTTTGGTATTAAGAATCACAAATGCTAGAAATCAGTATCATATTTTGGATTAGCCAAAGTGAGGTATCTTTGAATTCAAATGCACAGATTTTGACATGGAGCTCAGGACACGGGCCCTAGGAAATTTTGTATTATCCATTCAACACACATTTATGACAGGCCAGGCCTTGTGCTGTGGGTTGGGATACAAAGTTCAATAATATGTATTCCGTGGCTCAACAAGCTTGCAGTCTAATGGGGAAGTAAGACACAATGAGATGACTGTAAGATGGGGTGAATCCTGAGAGATATCTGGAGCTGGGTTAATTCCAGCAGGAGTGTTCATCTGTGGCTGAGGTCCCCAGATGAGGACCATCACAAAACCATCCAGATGGGAGCCATAGGTTAAAGTAGTGGTAGTTAAGGGGACCAGCTTGTGCGTAAGCCAGATCAGTACGAAGGCTCTGTTCTAGGAAGTAGAAGCTATGAGGCCTTAGGCAAGTAATTAGATTTCCAAGCATCTATTTCTGGAACTACTGAAGACTTTTATGCAGAGGAAGGATATACTCATATATCTGCTTTAGGGAGATTTCTTGAGCATCTGTGTGGAGAGTAGAGGGTTGGAGGAGGCAACCCTGGAGGCAGGAGCAAAGAGGAGAGACCTGAGCTCTGTTGAGGAAATCAATGCCTCCAAATGCAGGCTCTTTTATATGCATTGCCCAGCATCTGGCAATGCTGGTGCTGACAATGATTCACCATATACAGTACTTACTTCAGGTTTGGCAAGTATCCAGGGACAAGCGAGGAAATCTATTCCTCCTCTCTGCTCAGCACACAGGGCCCATTCAGTATCATTCCTTTAGACTACGGCTGGGCTTCTTGCCCTCCAATCCCCGGGCTCCACCAGCCCTCGGGAAATGACAGGCCCTGGGAATCAGAGAGACAGTGCCCTTCCTCATCACGCTCAGCTGCCCTACTGTCTAGGAGATCATGAATTGTCCTGGAGGCAGCGCTGCTTTTAGTGCCTTTGCTAGGAGGGTCTCCTGGATGTAAACTCTGTCTGGCCCTAGCCCCCCAACAGGATGTGGGCAGCCTGCATCTCCGCTGGACTGGAGCCAAAATGCCAAAGCACAGCACCTTCGAGTTCCATGCCTCCAGAAGGGCTTGTCCCTGCGCACTGGGATGGTGCTTGTTTGCAAGGTAGATTTTAAAGCAGTTTGCATTTTTTTCCATAGCACTTTTACTGCTCTGTCTTTGGAGTTGCTCTTCAATAACAGTAACAACAAAAATAAGGCCTACGCCTTTTTGTCTATTGAGGCCATTGAGGAATGCTTCCATAAAGAAACCTGTTTAACTTTTCTTAAACCAGATTCTTCAATGTATTCGGCATTGAACTCTTTTCCCATACCTCTGATAATAGCTCTATTGAAATGACTTGAATAAATGCTATAGTAATTAATCTAGGAGGGGTAGGAGGGATCCAGAAAGTGTAGTGTGATGGAGAAGGCCTGGTTTGGGGTCAGCTTTGTACATTACTAACCATGTGAATGGACAAGTTAGTTAACTGTCTAAGCCTCTGTTTTCTTTCTTTAAAATGGAGATAACACTCAGCCAGACACAGTGGCTTACGCCTGTAATCCCAGCACTTTGGGAGGCCAAGGCGGGCGAATCACCTGAGGTCAGGAGTTCGAGACCAGCCTGGCTAACATGGTGAAACCCCGTTTCTACTAAAAGCACACAAAATTAGGCAGGCGTGGTGGTGTGCACCTGTAATCCCAGCTCCTCAGGAGGCTGAGGCAGGAGAATCGCTTGAACCCGGGAGGCAGAGGTTGCAGTGAGCCGAGATCGCACCATTGCACTCCAGCTTGGGCAACAAGCGTGAAACTCCATCTCAAAAGAAAACAAACAAATGAACAAAAAACACTGAGATAACACTCAATTTGAGGATTGTCGTGAGATTTATCTGAGATGCACTACATAGATCTTCTGGTATATAACAAATAATTGGTAGTTATTATTCTGCAGTATGGGCAAGCATGAATCTGGGCTCCTGGGAGTTACTTCTTCTAGTACAATTGTATTCACTCATTAAGGTTTCAGCTGCAAAACCTGCAATTGACCCAAATATGATCTATTTGCAACAGAACAACAGTAGGTTTATTTCAGGAGTTAGGGTAGAGGCAGAATATGGAATGGGGCTAAGTGGAAACTTGAATGTGTGCTTTCTAGTAATGAACAAGGCAGGCATACCTTCTAGAAAAGATCCCTAGTCTTCAAGTCTGTGATATTAATAGTTAACAGATTTCGTCTGTTCATTGTTATTTCTGTTTTACTACTTACATAGGAAAATAAGGCACTGGATATAAGCTATGAAGACATTTTGAATAATAAGGAAAGCAGTGTGATTTGGGGGGTCCTTTACATGCCTAAAACTTTTACCCACCTGCTGGCTGTTGCTAGAAATCACATATCGCAAAGCTCGTCTTTCCATAGTTAGCTATAAAACTGCTGCATAGATGACGGAGGGATGAATGGATGCACGGATGGATGGATGGCTAGATTCTGCACAAACTTCCAGTGCTGTTACCTTGATAAATTGTCCCTTCACAGACAATATTCCTTTTCTTGTGTGAAGATATCTATTTTGTAGCCTCCAACTCGTCTCTTTTCCCGGCTACAGGTCCCCAGTTTCTGCTGCTGTTGCCCACATGTCAGTCTCAGTCTCCCAATCCTCTGACACTCTGACTGCCTCACCGTTTTAAGCAGGTTCCTTATCCACAAACATCTCTGCTAGGGGAAGTCTAATTCACAGCTCATACTTTTCATCAGAGCTGTCAAATACATGCCATAGACACTGGACTCTCAGAAACTCCTGTTCCACTGGCGCTTGCCATTCTTTTGGAGTTCAGAGGTCAAAGGACAGGAAAGCTCCTAGTTCTGTGAGTGGGAGGGGAGTAACAGTGGGAACAAACGTCAGCAGATGACACTCCCTGACATCGCTTCCCCTTTCTCAGAAGTGGTGTTTTGTTGGTTGCTTTCCCACAGCTGAACTTGTCATAATGGAGCTCTGTTCTCCCACGGCTTGTTAATTGCAGCATCGCTGGGTTAAAGAAAAAAAAAAGAAAGCCTTCAAGAATGTAGGGAATCTTGTCTTAATTCATTCTGATACCTAGTCCCCTACTGCAGTGTCACTTTTCAATCTTATTTTTGATATACCAAAAATTATCAATTCAAAGTCATACTGACATACTCAGATTTCCAATATTTAAATAAACCTTTATGCTAATTAAGTGTAAATTACATTAGCTATATCGGGTTACAGCACTGCGTATCATCCAACAGTTACATAATCTTTTGAATTCTGTCAAAACAGCGTTAGCTTTTTTTTTTTTTCAGGGGAATCTCTGTTAATATCTTGTGAATATCTAGGCCCCTCAGTGAAATTTTTTGACAACTAATTTTCTAGAGAAGCAAATACCAGTTATACTTGGAGTTGGCTTTGATCCTTCGATCTGGTGATGATGTGGGTGTGACAGTAGGGGAGGAAAAAGGCTGAGTATAGTTCACTTGGTGATTTATATAGCTCCTTTCACAGGATTAGAGTGAGAACCCTAAATAAAACAGTATTGTTTGAAGCCATAATAATTAGGAGGTTTCTTTTTAGCTGGACTAAATTCCAAAGCTATCCCAGGGGCTTGGAAGTCAGAGAGTCCATTTCATTCTGTGCTTAAGAAGCATTCCTGTGAAGGAGTCCTGCTGATTCTGGGGATTAAGGAAGAACTTCCTGGTGGTAATTAATTAATTGCATGTAACACTTTAATTTAAGATCAGTCTCACCAGTTTCACAATAAATAAAATCCTCTAAACTGTGAAAGTAAAAGTAAAATAAATGTTGATGGCCATATTGCCAACCCTGTCTGTGCATACAAGTGCATTTCTTTAGGACTGTCAATACCAATGCTGCCAGGACCACGGCCTGTACACTTAAGAGCATTCAGCTAAGTCCAAGAACAGACACTGATCTTCTTAAACCAGGCTTTAATGCTCACCATGTGGATTGCCAGAGTTCCAGTTAGGGCTGGGATGGGGCTTGGCAGATCCATTACCAATAACAGGACTCAGCCCATGTTGTCCTCTTCTAAACCCAAAGACAGGGCAGCAGCATTTGCTTCTTCATCAGATGAATTCTCTCAAGGACCTCAGGGCCTCCGTGGGGAGCAGAGGTCACTGCAGGGGAGCAGACAGAGCATTTTCATGTTACGAATCTTAACCATTTGGTATGCAAGCTCATGTGTGCATTCTTGTTATTCCTGTGAACCAAATGCTCCTGGAAAGCAAAGCTCCCCTTGTCTATTTCCAGGCCCGTACAAGTGCTGCTTACAAGGGGGCTCCTCCATCTACTAACTCCTTCCTATTCTGCAGCTCTGAAGACTTTCCTGAGCCTACCAGACAATACAAAATTTCACTGGAGTTTACTCACCTTTAAGAGGTGTCAAGAGCAAGCACCTTGCTCTATTTTTCTGGCCCCAATCTTGGTCCATTTGCAGACTTTTTATCTGGGCTTTTGGTCTGTGGTAGATGAGGACACGCCAGTTCTGCTTCTAGACTGTGCTATAAGCCCTCCCATCTTACAACATTGCCTGCACCCACAGAAGTATTATAAAAAGCCTCCACAGCTGGGTACTGGTTAACTAAGGAAAGTTTCACTCGCGTCCATGTGAAGAGACCACCAAACAGGCTTTGTGTGAGCAACAAGGCTGTTTTTCACCTGGGTGCAGGCGGGCTGAGTCCGAAGAGTCAGCGAAGGGAGATAGGGGTGGGGCCGTTTTATAAGATTTGGGTGGGTAGTGGAAAATTCAGACAAAGGGGGTTGTTCTCTGGCGGGCAGGGGCGGGGGACACAAGGTGCTCAGTGGGGGGGCTTTTGAGCCAAGATGAGCCAGGAGAAGGAATTTCACAAGGTAATGTCATCAGTTAAGGCAGGAACAGGCCATTTTCACTTCTGTTGTGATTCTTCAGTTGCTTCAGGCCATCTGGATGTATACCTACAGGTCACAGGGGATATGATGGCTTAGATTGGGCTCAGAGGCCTGACAGAAAGTACTTGAAGCTTTGCTGTCCTTTCTCCAGTGACTGCCTCCCCAAGGTTTCACACTCTCTGATAATACCATCAGACTGTAGATGTGTCAAGGCTTTAGTCTGCCCAACCACAACAAGAAGAGGCTGCCCTGAAGCACCCTCTGCAGACCTCTGTTACAGTATAACACAATTCATGGAAAGGGACTGGACAATTTTTTGTCCAATCCCTTAGGATGGCTCAGTGCTTTCTGACGGCCATTGGATCCTATCACATACTGAGTGCTATGCCCAACCCTGAGCTGACCAGCAATTGGGGTATGGCTCTTTCTTCTTCAGCACACACATGGCTCTTTGCTTCTACTCAGCCAGGTAACTCTCATCCAGGCTGGAATTACAGAACTACCTCGTAGTTCTGTAATTGCAAATGGCTTAGTAGCCCTTGCTCTCAACAGAGCAACTCCTCAAGGGTGGATGAAACCCTTAGTCATCCTGTTCCTAGACATCCTATAATGTCTAGACTATGAAGGGATTTCAATCGTTTCTGAATGAATTGACTCTGTTGTAGCTGTCCATCATGGCAAAACTCTAGGAGACAATAAGCAGCCAAGAGGCAGGAGGGAGAGTCGATGTAAAATGCTGGCTTATGTCTCTGAGAATCTATCTGTGGATAGTGCCTCGAAATTGTCTTTAAACATGCAGCATTATGGATTTAACATTATGAAGCCTTTCCTTAGAAGTTTGCCTTGGTTAATATCATCGGCTTCATTAAAATGTGGAAACCCCACATATTCATCCTAAGTAAAAACTATTCTGAAATTTCTATCTTTGTAAAGACATTGGGTCTGGTTGTTAAGTGGTGGGGAAGAGAGAAAGGCATCCTTAGAGGTCAAGTGAGGATTCAGCTTCTTTCTGGGTGTATTATCTCTTCTTCCCCAATAAGACCACCCTCCTTAGTTGCTAGATAGGAGTTGTTTTGACACATGCAGCCTAATAACCTAATAAAGGCAACCAGTATAGTTGTATTTTCTTGTTATATTTAATGAAACTTTGTTATATGCAGATGGCAGTAAGTATCTTTGGGCTTAGAGCCAAATTTTTGGTCTTGCTTCAGTGGAAATTCATGACTAATGAAGTGCTCAATTATTAGCTGTCCTTCTTAGCTCATCATAGAAAACTTTCCACTGGGGTATCCATAGTCATCTTGATAAAATAACCTTTTATCAGGCAGCTTATGCTGTGGAAACAAAAAAATAAATCTAAAATCTAAATGACTTATAATAGCCAAGGTTGATTTCTTGCTCAAGCCTCACGTCTACTGTGGGGTGTCTGCACACATCTTTCTTTCTTTCTTTCTTTGTTTTTTTTTTGTTTTTGTTTTTGTTTTTTTTTGAGGGAGTCTTGCTCTGTTGCCAGGCTGGAGTGCAGTGGCGCAATCTCGGATCACCGCAATCTCCACCTCCTGGGTTCAAGCGATTCTCCTGCCTCAGCCTCCTGGGTAGCTGGGACTATAGGCACGTGCCGCCACGCCCAGCTAATTTTTATATGTTTAGTAGAGACGGGGTTTCACCATGTTGGCCAGGATGGTTTCGATCTTTTGACCTTGTGATCTGCCCGCCTTGGCCTCCCAAAGTGCTGGGATTACAGGCGTGAGCCGCTGCGCCTGGCCCACACGTCTTTCTTACCCGTACTGATGGAGCTGTGCCTCACAAGAACATGACTCTTCTTGTGGCAGAAGGAAAAGAAAGGCAGTGGCAAACAGTATACTGCTTTCAAGGCTTCTGTTCAGTTGTGGTATGGATCACTTCTGCTTATTATTTACTGTCCAAACTAAGTTTTGTAGCTAAGCCTGGCAGGGCAGGACAGGGATGTACAACCCTCTCTATGATGGGCACAAATATTTAAACAATAATATAATATTCCAGAGGCCTCTTCCTGCAGGATCCCTCTTGGCACATTTCTTCCAAAAAAGCCGAAGCTAATTTTGCATTTGAATCATGGTATTTTAATTATAAGTGGATCCTCTGTGGCACTCAGACAGTAGTTTCTGGACAAGCTCTAGGGCCTCTTATGTCCGAGAGACTCCCTAACATGTATCAGAAGCCCTCTGGGAATCCGTGGCATAGAAGAGAAGTTGTTCAGAGCTCATTAACAAGGCCTTCTTCTCCCATAGCAGGGCAAAAGAGAACAGGATTGCCTTCCAGAAGTTTGCTACATCCATATAGTTAGCATGGTCATCAGCAGGCATGACATATATTTTATACTGTAAACATTAATCTTTTTTTTCTTCAACTTTTATTTTAAATTCTGGGGTATATGTGCAGGATGTGCAGGTTTATTACATAGATAAACGTGTGCTATGGTGGTTTGCTGCACAGATCAACCCATAACCTAGGTAATAAGCCCAGCATCCGTTAGTTGTTCTTCCTGAAGCTCTCCTTTCCTCCACCCCGACAGGCCCCGGTATGTGTTGTTCCCCCGATGTGTCCATGTGTTCTCACCATTTAGCTGCTACTTATAAGTGAGAACATTCGGTGTTTGGTTTTCTGTTCCTGCATTAGTTTGCTGACAATAATGGCTTCCAGCGACATTCATGTCCCTGCAAAGGACATGATCTCCTTTCTGTTTATGTCTGCATAGTATTCCATGGTGTATATGTACCACATTTTCTTCATCCAGTCTATCATTGATGGGCATTTGGGTTGATTCCATGTCTTTGCTATTGTGAATAGTGCTGCAGTGAACATACGTGTGCATGTATCTTTATAATAGAATGATTTATATTCCTTTTGGTATATACCCAGTAGTGGGATTGCTAGGTCAAATGGTATTTCTGCTGCTAGATCTTTGAGGAATGGCCATACTGTCTTCCACGATGGTTGAACTAAGTTACACTCCCATCAACAGTGTAAAAACATTCCTTTTCCTCCACAACCTTGCCAGCATCTCTTGTTTCTTGACTTACAATAATTGCCATCTTAACTGGTGTGAGATGGTATCTCATTGTGGGTTTGATTTGCAGTTCTCTAGTGATCAGTGATGTTGAGCTTTTTTTCACTTTTCTTGGCCACATGAATGCCCTCTTTTGAGAAGTGTCTGTTCATGTCCTTTGCCCAGTTTTTGATGACTTTTTTTCTTGAAAATTCACTTAAGTTCCTTGTAGACTCTAGATATTAGACCTTTGTGAGATGGATAGATGGCAAAAATTTTCTCCCATTCTGTAGGTTGTCAGTTCACTCTGATGATAGTTTCTCTTGCTGTGCAGAAGCTCTTTAGTTTAATTAGATTCCATTCATCAATTATTTGCTTTTGTTACCATTGCTTTTGGTGATTTTGTCATGAAATTTTTGCCCATGCCTATGTCCTGAATGGTATTGCCTAGATTTTCTTCTAGGGTTTTTGTAGTTTTGGGTTTTACATTTAAGTCTGTAATCCATCTTGAGTTAATTTTTGTATAAGGTGTAAGGAAGGGGTCCAGTTCCATTTTTCTGCATATAGCTAACCAGTTCTCCCCGCACCATTTATTAAATGGACATTAAGCTTTTAAAAAATATTTGTATACTTGCTTTTGCCTTCACCATATACTATTATCCCATTTTATTACCCTATTTTATGTTCACATAGCATTCTACATTCTCCTTCTTAAACATAATCTCCCTTATAATTACTTTTACAATATTTGTCTCCCCTTGATTTATTCATGTGCACCCACCTCTAGGCTAGCCCCGTCTATTCCTAACTGTACTCATTCCACACTCCTTTATGGCAACCTAGGCCTTGAGATAGCTTTGTTCATCTCTCTTGATGATGAACTGGAATGTGGGGAAAAGCAAGAGAGATCAGATTGTTACTGTGTCTGTGTGGAAAGAAGTAGACATAGGAGACTCCATTTTGTTATGTACTAAGAAAAATTCTTCTGCCTTGAGATTCTGTGACCTTACCCCCAACCCTGTGCTCTCTGAAACATGTGCTGTGTCAACTCAGAGTTGAATGGATTAAGGGCGGTGCAAGATGTGCTTTGTTAAACAGATGCTTGAAGGCAGCATGCTCCTTAAGAGTCATCACCACTCCCTAATCTCAAGTACCCAGGGACACAAACACTGCGGAAGGCCGCAGGGACCTCTGCCTAGGAAAGCCAGGTATTGTCCAAGGTTTCTCCCCATGTGATAGTCTGAAATATGGCCTTGTGGGAAGGGAAAGACCTGACCGTCCCCCAGCCTGACACCCGTAAAGGGTCTGTGCTGAGGAGGATTAGTAAAAGAGGAAGGAATGCCTCTTGCAGTTGAGACAAGAGGAAGGCATCTGTCTCCTGCCCGTCCCTGGGCAATGGAATGTCTCCGTATAAAACCCGATTGTATGCTCCATCTACTGAGATAGGGAAAAACCGCCTTAGGGCTGGAGGTGGGACCTGCGGGCAGCAATACTGCTTTGTAAAGCATTGAGATGTTTATGTGTATGCATATCTAAAAGCACAGCACTTAATCCTTTACATTGTCTATAATGCAAAGACCTTTGTTCACGTGTTTGTCTGCTGACCCTCTCCCCACAATTGTCTTGTGACCCTGACACATCCCTCTCTTCGAGAAACACCCACAAATGATCAATAAATATTAAGGGAACTCAGAGGCTGGCGGGATCCTCCATATGCTGAACGCTGGTTCCCCGGGTCCCCTTATTTCTTTCTCTATACTTTGTCTCTGTGTCTTTTTCTTTCCTAAGTCTCTCGTTCCACCTTACGAGAAACACCCACAGGTGTGGAGGGGCAACCCACCCCTACACTGGAATGTTGAGTCCATGCTTTAGGATACATTTATGGGGTCAATTCTATTATGTATTCTCTACACCAGGTTTCTGGTATCTCATTTTACTGTCTTTTATCCTCTCTGTTTTTCCTGTGGACTTATAAATTTCCGTCTTTACAGAAGCTGGGCATACAGCCTTCAGACTCATAAAACATGAAGCCAAAGTTTAAATTGGGGTGAGGTTTGAGAGAGCCTAGAACCTACTTCTGGACTTGCCAGGCCTGGCTCTTCTAGACAATTAGAGACTGCTCAACCCTTCCAGTCTCAGGGATAAGCTTTGTGTGCTAGAGAAAGAAGGTCTCTATGCAGGTATGCAGGTGATGCCTCTCACTGGCAGCCCATGAAGTGTTTGCCTTTTGGGGAATGGGGACTGATGATAGCTAGGCAGTTGCATTTCTGGCATGCTAACAAATTTAAAGGTAAACCAGGAAAAAATGCAATGATGTTTTATATACATTATTTAAAATGATTATTCTACAGCACAGTGCGTGTAATGTACTCACTGATCTGTTTTTCTTACCTAACTGTCAAAACTCCAGTTTGAGGATTCGTATCAAACTTATTTTAGTTCACAAAAAAGGCTGTTGCTATGGGTGTTGGGAGAAAAAGCATCATTGGGTTGCTGATGACAATCCTTTTATATACAAAACCAATGTCCACAAAATAGATGAGGACCTAATCAGAGAAAGACTTCATAGAACAATTAACTGATTTCTAGCCCATATATAATGCCATCAAATACACACATGCATCCACATGCATGTGCACACACATATACACACACAGGACGGTTACTGCTAATTGGAAGGCGGCTTGTTTGGGCTGGAATTCCTAAAGATGGGGATGCCAGCGAAGAGACCAAACAGCACCTTTCCTTCCGACAAGGCAGCAGTTTTCTCATCTATAACCTGAGGGTAATTATAGCACCTATTTCATAATTATTATTAAGGATGCAATGTGATAATGCATATACAGTGTTTCATATAGGGCAGAGCACATACAAAGTTGTCAAAAATGTTAACAATTTGCATTGTTATTGTAAAGCTGTTACTCAATTTCTTTAATTTTTATTTTACTTTTATTTATTTATTTATTTATTTATTTATTTATTTATTTGAAACGGAGTTTCGCTCTTTCACCTGGGCTGGAGTCTAGTGGCACAATCTTGGCTCACAGTAACCTCTTCACCCTAGGTTCAAGCGATTCTGCTGCATCAGCCTCCCAAGTAGCTGGGATTATAGGCACCCACCACCATGCCTGGCTAATTTTTGTATTTTTAGTAGAGACGGGGTTTTGCCATGTTGGCCAGGCTGGTCTCGAACTCCTGACCTCATGTGATCCACCCACCCTTGGCCTCCCAAAGTGCTGGGATTACAGGCGTGAGCCACCGCACCCGGCCCCAAACAATTGTTAAAAGTGAAGTCAAGTCAGAGCTATGCTTTTTATGCCAAGGTGATGTTCTGGAGGCTCCTCAGTTGAGTGTGCAATTAGCATTGATTACCCAGAACTTGGATTGGATCCTTTAACCTAGTTCTAGGTTCCTTCCTCAGGCCACTGGGTACACCCATCATTGAGCTAACTGCCCAGGGCTCCCACTACTGCCTGCAGCCAGGAAAGGCAATGGAGTAAAGTTAAACTCATTAAACTCCTATGCAGCCCAAATTCTATTTTAATAGCATCCCCTATTTGTTGAGTACACTTCTGTGTACCTTGAATCATTCTTGGTTGCTAACATACATGACCTTATCTAATTCACAGAACAATTCTAAAGGTAGGTGCTGCCATTGGCAAAATTTTACAGTATAAGAAAGTGAATCCCAGAAAGGCTAAGCACTTGCCTAGTGCAACCCAGTAAACTATGAAGTGGCAGGGCTGACAATCTAACTTAGCTTGTCTGGGATCAAAGCATGAGGTCTAACATCCCAGACATGAGACTATTGTAATATTAGCCATAACTGTACAAAATACCTTTTTATTTCTCATTTTTATATTTCCCTAGGGGTCTTATATCTATTATGACCTCAAATAAAAGAATGAAAATCTCTTTTAAAGCCAATATGATTATAGTAACTTTTCCTTACGTGCTTAAAGATTTATTAAGGCACTTTTATTAAAATTTCATGTTCAGGATTAAACTGTTCAATTTATAGTACTTGATAAATTAGTTTGATACACTTAGCCACATCTTCTTTAGCATCTTCTAAAATTAAAATTTTAGTTTAAGAGCAGAGAACAGCCAGGTGCGGTGGCTCATGCCTGTAATCCCAGCACTTTGGGAGGCTGAGGCAGGTGGATCACAAGATCAAGAGATCGAGACCATCCTGGCCAACATGGTGAAACCCCGTCTCTACTAAAAATACAAAAATTAGCTGGGCATGGTGGCATGTGCCCAGCTGTAGTCCCAGCTACTCAGGAGGCTAAGGCAGGAGAACCGCTTGAACCTGGGAGGCGGAGGTTGCAGTGAGCTAAGATTGCGCCACTGCACTCCAGCCTGGCAACAGAGCAAGACTCCCTCTAAAAAAAAAAAACAAAACAAAACAAAAGCAGAGAACACAGACAAAAATGAGACTTCAAACTAAAAAGATTCCATCCAGAAATTTGTATATAGCACTAAGATTTTGGAATGTCTCAACGATTTGATTCCTATTGCATGGATATTAGCTTGGACTTAAAATATCTATAAACTCACCTTGAATCATACATTTAATGATTATTTTTTATGGCTGGCTGAATTGGATTCTTCTCCCTCTCTTCACCATAGCCTTGGCTTCACTGACACTGACGTGACACTAATTGTGAGGCTAGGTTTGAATTCATCTTGGTAATTTGTAGGTACATGTGACTGCTGAGGTGGTATTAGCAATGTACCCACATACTAGATCTAGCAATTTGGGAAGAAAGCCTCGCAGAGCTAAAATACTATGGAGTTTTGGGTTAGATTATGTTGAATATGTTCCCCGGCCTTGCTACATACTAGCTGTGTGATTCTAAAGATATCATTTAATCTTAGTGTTCCTTCACTTCCTCACCTGTAAAATAGAGCTGATGATACCTCCTTCCCAGGAAAACTGTTATGATGTACATCAAGGGCATAGTTGAATGCTTAGCATAAAATAAGCTCCCACTTTTATTAAAAATAGGGAAAATTGCTGATTCCACTGATTCCAAACAACCTTGAGGTCTTTTATAACAATAGAAATGAAAATAAAGTAGACCACTTCCAATGCACTGTGTAGAAAGGACTTTTCAAGAAAGTGTAAACATATATATGTGTGTGAATGTATATACATGTAAACACACACATATATACATACTTACAGTGAGTCCTTAGTTAACGTCATCCATAAGTTCTTGGAAACTACTCCTTAAAGCAAAAATGACAGGCTGTGTAATGAAACCAATTTTATCATAGGCTGGTATAGACAAGAGTTAAGGTCCTATGGCATTTAGTACATAGTTTCGCTTAACATCAATTTCCAAGAACCTGTTGACAACGTTAGTGAGGACTTAATGTATATACACACATGCACAAATACAGATACATATATATTGCACTTGTACATTGGGACACGTATTCATTAATTCATTGTTAAGGTACATATGAAGGGAGATAACTAAAATTGATCTACTATAACGGCTGAAATGAGATTCTTCGCTTTTTCATGCCTCTGCTCAATAAAAAAATGACTCTCCATTATTTACAATTACGTTAGAACTTCTGTTTACTAAATGGTTATTTTTATGTTAAATTTTTGTGTTAGTTTTTGGCATTTTAACATAAATGATCTTATTTAAGTCTCATAACAACCCTGGAATGTAGGTGGTATTACTGTCATTTTTAAAAGTGGCTTTGAGATAAACAATAAACAGTTACATTTTTAAGTGTGCAATCTGATAAGTTTTAACATACGTACATACCCATGAAACCATGAGTACAATCAAGTCAATAAATATAACCATCACCCACAGAAGTTTCCTTATACCCCTTTGTAATCACTCCTCCATCCTCCCTTGCCATTGCTCTATCTCAGGCAACCACTGATACTGATCTCCCTTCTGCCACTACAGATTAGTTTACATTTTCTAGACAATTCTATTGTATAAATGTTGATGGATATTTGAGTTGTTTCCACTTTTTGGCTATCATAAATAATCTTATTGTTACAGGACTTTTCGTTAGTTCAGCTAAAGACGGAGTTCTTTGTCCCATAGCCATGAAAATTCAGGCTTGCAGACAAATTGAATAGTAAGACAGGGTTTCATTGGGTGAAAAGGAAGAAAAGGGGGAAACAGGGACTCTCCCAAGGCCAGAGTCCCTGCTAGAGCACTTCCTGCCTGCAGCTTGAATCTCAGGTTCCACACAGGAAGAGGAGGGGCCAGGCTCCTCCCTGCTGCAAACTTCTTGGACTTCCTGAGGCCCCACCTCAGTGGGCAGGCTGGTTGGAGTTTCTTCAGGGATCCCCTCCCACCTGGCTGTCTCATTCCCCCCTCTAAAGAAGCATATCTAACTGCCATTAGAATAAGGAAACCTTGCATCTGACCTACATTTCACCAGTAATCTTTACGGCTGCTTTTATTTCTCAAAGATTAAAGTCACGTAAACTGAAAGGTACTGCAGCTTTTACTTCCCTTAAAAGAAATTATTGATCCAAGTGCTTTTCTTTCTTTAGGCCAAATTAATTAGAGCTCTTTTGACAGACAATACACACAGTACACACACACACAGGCAGAAGAAAACCCAGTCTCTGGGTGGGGCCCTTTAAGAGACAGGGCTAGGAAAACATGCAGATATCAAACCTGAGAGGGCTCCTCCCCTCAGGCAGGGTTGCTAAACAAAGCCTTGCCAAGTGGTTACTGGGCCGTGCCCCCACGATGTAAAGCAAGATGGAGGCTTGCATCACAAACCATACAGATATGCAAAGCACAGCAGATTGGCCACCGCCCAAGACTAGCGCCACAAATCCTTTCACGACCAAAACTTAACAGAGTACAAACAATGATAGTTGAGGGGCCTGGCCCAGTAAAAATGTCCTCTAAAAGGAAAAAATCAAAACAAACAAAAAAAAAACCTTTAAAGGTTGACTGATGTGGTGGAGAAGAGGAGAAGAGGGAAGAAAAGAAACAGTTTAAAAATGCCTGGGGAAGAGTCTCTTATTCTTATGCAACTGCTTCCTCCACCAGGGAGAAAAGTCTAAGCTTAATTACTGTCCGCTGGAGTAAAGCTCCTTGGCTGGGGAAGGGGAAGGCTGTTGCGGCTTGTGGCTTCGGGAACTAGCCAGCCAGCTGTATGGGTTCCTTGGGCCATGCATCCCAGCCCCAGTACGGAGTAGGGAGCAGCTGGGCACTAGTGGGTGGTGTCAAGTCCAAATTTCCTAGAGTGTATCTTTTCAAAAATCTAATTAAGGTGATGGTGAGCTCCCTTAGGATAGGTATGTTTCTCAGACTTAGTTTGGGTAGACGCTTAGTCAGACTGCTTGATTCCTACGCCAGCTCCACCCCTTACTGATTGTGTAGCACTAAGCAAGATTCTTAACCTTTCTCTTCTTCAATTTCTCACTTCTAAAAATGGGGATAATAATAATGATAGCTACCTCATGGGATTGCTTGGTGATTAAATAAATTAATAGTTATAAGATCATTTGCCCAATTCCTAGAATATACAGAGTTCAATAAAGGCTAGTCATTAACATTAATACTGCTGTTGCTACAATCTGCACCCTGTGCAGAGCTGGGTTCAGGACAGATGTGAAATCAACCATCCTTAGTAATCAAACCAACAGGTTGCTCTAGTTCCAGGAGGAATACTTGATTCATGTCTCAAAATAATGTGCCACCGTGTATATAGAAATGAATAAGGGGCTTTCCTACCTTTGAGACGTTCAGTCTATTGTGGTGGTTCTTAACCTTTTGGAGCTTTGAGCAATAGATGAAAGTTATGGGCCTTCTCTCTAGGAAAGTTCCCATGCATAAGGAACTTTGTAACTCATTTCAATGATGGGCTCTCTCTTCTTGAGAAGGTTTGAGAACCAGAATTTAGTACACGTTTCTTCTATGATAGGCTCGCTGCTAGGCGCTTTGTACCTAGCTCATTTAGTCCTCATAATAATCTTACAAAGGAAGATTTATCACTTCCAATCATAGAGAAGAAAACTGAAATTCACAGAACGAAGTAAAGTTTTCAAGGTCATGTAGTAATGGTGACGCTTGCTCTATTTCCAAAGCCATTTCTCTTCTGTCACCTTTTCCACCCCTTATTTTTTAATTATACATTTAAGAAACCTTAAGGGTGAAATTATTTCAAAACTCCTACCAGTTTTCACAGTCTACATTCTGGCAATTTAGCATAATTGGAGGAGTCAATGGACAGACGATTCCAGCTTGCTGTAGTATACTTATGTAAGCCATATACTTATGATTCTGTTGTTGAAGTTTCTTCTGTTTCCCTTCCTCTTGATCACCCAGAAGGATGTCATTTTAAAGGATGTCAATTTCGACATGGTTCTTGCACCCAACTTGAAACATTAATTATTGACTGGTTGTGAGAAATGTATCCATTGTATAAATGAGCCTATTCACTTTGACACCTAAATTGTCTTTGAATCACATGGTGCTCAAGTCACTCAACCTGATTACAAGGAAGTTTCATAATGTGCTTGTAAATACAAGTTGCAGGGTGAAAAGAGTGTTTTGCAATTTCACCCCCACCCCCCCAGCCAATTTGCTAAGCATTACAGTTCATAACAGCTTTTAAGGTAGAAGACTTACTGTATTACTTTCCCGAGTGGACTTTAAATCTTGCTGGGGAATACACCTTAGTTCCGGCAGCCCGGGTGTAGTTGTGGTGTTGAAGACAGGGCAGCACTCTTCAGGCTTGAGAGTGATTTGGGAGCTGTTGGGGAGGGGAGCTTTATGGCTGGCAGAATCCTCAGAGGAGATTCCTGTTGTGTCGAGGGCTGGAATCTAGAAAAGAAAAAGGTAGTTGGTCAGCGGCTATTGTTTCTCAAAACTCAGCAGAAAGGCCTGGCAATAACCATGGTGTGGTGATGTGTCAGGTGGGAAAGGAGGGCAAGGTTGTTGGAGATGTACAAAAACCTCTCCAGCCCTCCTGCTCACTCCTACTTCCTTGACTCAGACATCGGCTTTCTCTTGTTTCAGATGCCAGATCATTTCTTTCCGCCTACCCCAAGGTGTGTGAATTGGTGGAAATAGATATAAGAAACTGCATATGCTTTTATTGGCTAATTATATTAAGTACAAGAGAAAATGCTTTCTGGGCTTCATCTCACTGTGTATTTAATTCTCCTTTTCAGTGTGCCACAGGGATCCCATTTTTGGGACCAGTCATCCTCCTTCTTCACACATAGAAAGTAAAAGGGGTAATTATCCCCCAGGAACACTTTAATTGTACCAATTAACCTGACCACATTTTGCAATCAAAGCCAAGCAGAGAAGAGGATTTAAAGTGATCAAACACCATTTTATGGACTGGAGATAAGGAATAGGTAAGGTAAGGCATTTACTATAAAGGATGGACTCTGAAATCACATAGGCCTGCACTAAGGGATTTTTCTACCACTATTACCGAGAAGAAAAATGACATTGTAGGATCATTTAATTCCACCATCACTGCACCTCTGTAATAATGTAGCACATAGTCACAATGATCTGTGCTCATTTCAGCTGTCTGTCAAAACGTTCTCTAAATTACTGCTTAAGGGCTTTCTCAGGTAGGCAGAAAGGCAGGTCTAAATTTGAGCCCTTCTTCCACCACTACAGTGCACGACATATACCATTGGACAAGTAACTAAACTCCTCTGCCCCTCACTACCCTTATCTGTGTGTCAAGCACTTAACAAACATCATCTCATTCAATCCTCCCAACTCTAGGAGATGGATATTTTCCCCCTTTTGGAGATGCTAGAGGCTCAGTGAAGTGAAATTTACATTGCAGCTTGCTGGGGAGTCGCAGAGTTCATTTTTTATTTTCTTTCGTTCCTTTTTTAACCCTCCTAACAGTTACCGAGGTTCTCTTATGTTCCAGGCATTCAGCTAAATATTGAGGGCATAATGGTGAACCTGATGGACATAGTCTATATTCCCATGGAGCTTAAATAGAACTCAGCTCTGATTGCAGAGCGCATGTCCTATTAACGCTACCATAGAATTCTGCCTTCCTCATGATATTGTTTGGCTCAGATGAATGAACGGATGCAAAAGTGTTATAGTCTTTAAGGGAGTTACATTACATCTGTGATGGATACACACACACACATATATATTTACCACAGACTTTTAGAGCCTTTATGAACTTGCTAAAATATCATTTAGACATGTCTAAAGTAACTATATAACTAAAAATTGGTTCATCTGGGTCAAAATCAGCTTTTTGTCTTGATAAAATGTTACAGAAAGTGTATAGGCAAATCTACAGAGTCAGAAAGTAGATTAGTTGGTTGCCTGGGGTTGGGGATGGGAACAGGTGTTACTGTAAATGGGCATGAGTTTCTTTTTGGAGGATGGAATTGTTTTAAAGTTGGATTGTGGTGATATTTGCACAGCTCTGAAAATGTACTAAAAATTGTTGAATTGGACACATAAAATGAATAAATTTTATGGTATGTAAATTATACCACAAATAAAGATGTTACAACACAAACACAAAGTAAATTAATGAAGGCCTATGATTTAGTCCTGATGAGAAAATGTAGTGAGTTCAAGTATTTCTGGGCTTACTAAGACAGAGACAGGATCATGAGAGGCACACAATCTTTACTGGGCAGCATGTGAATAAGATTGCATGGGACATGGGACGGGAAGTCACTCCCAGCAGGAGACCTTCCAGAGATAAAGTCATGGGCCACCACTCTGTAGAGGAATAAATCAAAGGATACTCAGGGGGTGAGGCAAGTTGAAGAGGGGGGTTATTTACTCGGTGATGTTGCTCAGCAGCACCATAGTCTCTCAATCAAAGAGCTCTGAAGAAGAGCAGTGGTTTGGGATCTTTATAGCTACAATATTTGTCTTACCTATGGTTAGCAGACGTTGGGTGTAATTTTATGAGGATATGTAGAGTAAGTAGGCTCTAAATGGTTAAAAATATGTTTATGTTGGGCTATATTTAAAGCAATTTAAAGATGTGTAAGAAATAAACAACATGGGGCTATTTTCAGCAAATAAACAGGAACCATCTCTGCCTTATTTAAATAACAGGAAGATATCATGAATTTGCCATATCACTTAGCTCATAGTAAGTGGTCAATCTCAAAATTACAGTGGTTAAGGGCATCAGATCTGAAGTCAGCCCAGATGGGTCATATACTAGTTATTTAATGATAATAAGCTACTTTGCATGTCTCACTTTCCTTATCTATAAAACAAGAAAATGTGAATCTTTGTGTGACAAGGCTGTGAAGACTATATCTATTAGCATATACAAAATAAGACATTTATTGCCACGTCCTGCATATAGGAAACACTCAACAGTTAGCAGCTCCTGTTATTATTCCAGAAACTTAAATAGCAACCAGTTTAACAAAACTCAGAGCAGTAGTTTTGATTAATAAAATGTCTACACTATTTCTAGTCAGTAGAATTGTTTAATCAGCATTGCTGTCAAAATAGCTGTCTCCGTAGAAATGCCAACATCTCGCCATCAGCAGAGTATGCGAAGTGCATTGGCACCAATCCATTCACATATTCTCCCTGGGGACCATCGCACAAACACCCAGGGGTGGATGGCCCAGGCAGGCTGTTTCACTGATCTAATCATTAGACTCTGTATCTGGTGATGCACTCTGCCTCACTGGATCATTTTAAGGGTTAAATAAACTAACACATGCAAAAGGTCCCAGTTCACTTACTATTATTGGGAAATTCAGGCTCAGAGACATTAAATAGCATATTCAAGATCACATGGATAGTAAAAACTAGAACTAAGATTTTTTTTTTTTTAGACAGGGTCTCGCTCTGTTGCCCAGGCTGGAGTGTAGTGGTGCGATCTTGGCTCAATGCAACCTCTGCCTCCCTGGTTCAAGCGATTCTCCTGCCTCAGCCTCCCAAGTAGCTGGGACTACAGGCACCCGCCACCACACCCAGCTGAATTTTTTTGGATTTTTAAGAATTGGGGTTTCACTATGTTGGCCAGGCTGGTCTTGAACTGCTGACCTCGTGATCTGCCCGCCTCAGCCTCCCAGAGTACTGGGATTACAGGCGTGAGCCACCGTGCCTGGCCTAGAACTAAGTTTTGAGTACAGTTTCTCTGATTCTAGAACTTGTATTTGTGTGTTCATAAACATTATGCTCCACAACTTAACAGTCTGTGGACCTGGAGGCAAGTATAACCTCTCTTATCCTTAATATTTTCATTTTTAAAATTTAGCAGTTAAGAGTACCTCTGTATAGGACTGTTAAGATAATTAAATGAGATATATAAAACACTTAGAATAGTGTGTGGCATGTAGGAGTTCAATAAATGTCATCAAATGTTCTATTACTATAGTTATTTTTGCCTGGGGCACTTTCACTTTAAAATGTAACTCTTAGAATTAGGTCACAATTCATGGGAGGAAAATGCAATGAGGAGGGGCTCCAGCCCAGGGTTTACTTGATTCTCCATTTCAGTAAATGTCAGCTCCATTCTTTTGTTACTCAGTTTATAAACCTTGGAGTCATTCTTGACTCCTCCCTTTCTCATATCCCACTTTCACTCTGTCTGTCAAGAAACTCTTTTGGCACTGCCTTCAAAATAAGTCCAGAATCTGACTCCTTTCTGTCACCTCCACGACCACCACCCTAGCCCAGACCAAAATAATCTCTCAACTGGTCTACTGCAACATCCTCTCACCTGCTCTCCAGGCTCCTCTGACCTTGCCACCTTCAGTCTGTCTTCAATACAGCGACCAAAGTGACCCTGTTACAGTCTACATCAGGTCATGTTACTCTCCTGCTGTTTTCTGCATTTCTCCCTAGGTAGCTGCATAGATACGCCTCTCAAATTCTGTATTAGTAATCTACTACTGCTGGACAAATTACCACAAAGATAGTGGCTTGAAACAATACCCACTTATTTCACAGCTTCTATGGAATACTATGCAGCCATAAAAAGGAATGAGATCAAGCCAGGCACGGTGGCTCACACCTGTAATCCTAGCACTTTGGGAGGCTGAGGCGGGTGGATCATGAAGTCAGGAGTTCAAGACCAACCTGGCCAGCATGGTGAAACCCCATCTCTACTAAAAATACAAAAAATTAGCCGAGTATGGTGGCGCACACCTGTAATCCCAGCTACTCGGGAGGCTGAGGCAGGAGAATTGCTTGAACCCGGGAGGCAGAGGTTCCACTGAGCTGAGATCACTCCACTGCACTCAAACCTGGGCAACAGAGTGAGACTCTGTCTCAAAAAAATAAATAAATACAAAAAAGAATGGGATCATGTTTTTTGCGGGGACGTGGATGGAGCTGGAAGCCATTATCCTCAGCAAACTAACGCACGAACAGAAAACAAAACACCACATGTTCTCACTTATAAGTGGGAGCTGAACAATCAGTGAGAACACATGGACACAGGGAGGGAAACAACACATACTGAGGCCTGTTGGCTGGTGGGGTAGGGGAGGAAGAGCATTAGGAAAAATAGCTAATGCATTCTGGGCTCAATACCTAGGTGATGGTTGATAGGTGCAGCAAACCACCATGGCACACGTTTCCCTGTGTAACAAACCTGCACATCCTGCATGTGTACCCCAGAAATAAAAATAAAAGTAAAAATAAAGTTTACCATCTGCAACCCAGAAGAGGGCCCTCACAAGAACTCAAATATGCTGGCACCCCTATTTCAGACTTTTGGCCTCTACAACTGTGATAAATAAATTTTAGTTGTTCAAAAGCCACCCAGTCTATAGTATTTTGTCATAGCAGCTCAAACTGACTAAGGTAAGTGTCATTCTTATCACATGATAGCAAGGGTAAAAACTATCAACATGACTTATCACTGTTGACATTGACTTTGATTACTTGGCTGAGATTGTATTTGTCAGATTTCTCCACTATAAAATTATTCCTTCCCCCACCTTTTTATACTGTACTCTGGAAGGAAGTTACTATGCAGAATCCACACTCAAGGAGTGGGAAGTTATGCGAGATCTCCTTGAGAGCAGAGTGTCCACACGAATTGTTTGGAATGTTTATGTACAGGAGATTTGCCTGTTCTCCCTCGTTGATTTTAATTTTAGGTTTTCTACCAAATCTAACTTATTTTTTATTCAGTTGTATATTTATATCACTATGGCCTGATCTATATATATATATATATATATTTAAGGAAATAATATATTTAAGGAAATATATATATATTTAAGGAAATAAAAACCTACAAAGGATAGGATATGTCGAATTGGGATAGGAGCCAAATATAAGAGCTCCTGTTCACCAAACCTAGAAAAATTTGAGCAACAAAATAGAGCATCATTAAACTATAGCCAAATATATATATATATACACACACACATATATATGTATACTATATACTATAGTATATACAGTATATATAGTATATATGTAAACTATAGCCAAATATATATATAGCCATATATATATTTATATATGGCTATATATATTTATATATATATGGCTATATATATATTTATATATATGGCTATATATATATTTATATATATATTTATTTATATATTTATATATTTATTTATATATATTTATATATTTATTTATATATATATGGCTATATATATCTCTCTCTATTAATGATGCTCTATTTTGTTGTTCAAACTTTTCTAGGTTTGGGGAACAGGAGCTCTTATATTTGGCTCCTATCCCCATTGACATATCCTATCCTTTGTAGGTTTTTGTTTCTTTAACATTTTATTACTTTCTGCTAAAAGATTCCTCATCCTCTTGTATGCTTCTTGCCCCGGGCCCACAGTCAGCTATTTCTTCAATGAGCCCTGGTTCCTTTTATTTGCAAATGGTATTAGAAACCAAGATCTGGGCACTAGGTGTGCTCATTGATGTTGTCATTACTTTGGAGCCATCTTAGCTAACAGAACAAGGAAATATAGGTTGAGGATCTCTAATCCAAAAATCCAAAATTCCATACGCTCAAAGATCTGAAACTTTTTGAGTGCCAACGTGACACTCAAAGGAAATGCTCATTTGTGCATTTTAGATTTTGAATTTTTAGATTAAAGATGCTCAACTGGTAAGTATAATGTAGATATTCCAAAATCTGAAAAACTCTAAACGTTGAAACCCTTTGGTCCCAAGCATTTTGCATAAGTGTTACTCCATATGTGTATGTGTGTATACTAACCCATTTGTATCCTTATAGCTGTTTCTATATGTAACCATCTATGTCTTTATTAAGTTAAACATGAGTTCACACTGATGTTTTCAATTGTAATCTACTACCACATATTTATTCTAGGTCTTCCTCTTGCTTATCTTCATACTCCTACTGCAACACTGAGAAACCTGGCACCCATCATCTGCCATCTATTTAATTGCTCAATTTCAGTATTCTTTTATAGTGTTTTCAGAATTGTTAATCCATATCCCTGTTGGAAACAATCTTATCAATTAGAGTACAGTGTTTATGTGTAGTTTAATTTGGCTTTGGTATTCAAGACTACACTCATTTTCAAAGTTAATTAGGTCAATATGCCTACTTCCTCTATGCATGTCAGTGAGGTTATTTCATACATTTGTAATGCAATGAAATTCTCCTCTCACATTCTGCATTACATCCTGGGACACTTGACCACTTATTTTTTTTAAACTTGCCTACATTAAGAATCATTATTTCAACTGTAAACTTGTATGGGTTTTGACAAATGCATAATTTCATGTATCCGCCAGTACAGTATTAAATCAAAAGTTCACCTCCCTAAAAATTCCCTATGCTTCATCTGTTCCATCATCTCTTCCCCAGCTCTGAGTTTTGACAGCAGCTCAACCTTTTGTTGTATCTAGAATTTTCCCTTTTACAGAATGCCATATATTTGGAATTATACAGCATGATGCTTTTTCAGATAGGTTTCTTTAACTTAGCAATATAGATTTGAGATTCATCCATGTCTTTTTGTGGTTTGATAGCTCATTTTGTAATACAAAATAGTATTCCATTGTATGGATGTACTACAAATGTTTAACCATTCACCTATTGAAGATCAACTTGGTTGTGTTCACATTTTGGTGACTACAAATAAAGCCATTATAAACACTTGTGTGCAATTTCTGGCACGGGTGTAAGTTTTAAAATTAGCTGGGTAAATACATAGAAGTGTGATTTTTGTGCTAAGTCTATGTTTAGCTTTGTAAGAATCTGCCAGATTTTATCCAACATTGTTAAACCATTTTGCTTTATCAACAGCAATGAGCGAGAGTTCCAGTGGCTCTTAATCCTCATCAGCATTTAGCATCTTTTTTTTTACTTTTAATATTTTGTTTATTTATTCTGATAAGGATGTGATGATACTTATTGTTGCTTTAGTTTACAATTACCTAATGGAAAATGACATTGAGCATTTTTATATGATTATTTGCTATTTGTATATCTGAGGGTTTGTGTTCAGAAGTCTTGCTCATTTTTTTTATTATACTTTAATTTTTAGGGTACATGTGCACAATGTGCAGGTTAGTTACATATGTATACATGTGCCATGTTGGTGTGCTGCACCCATTAACTCGTCATTTAGCATTAGGGATATCTCCTAATGCTATCCCTCCCCCCTCCCCCCACCCCACAACAGTCCCCAGAGTGTGATGTTCCCCGTCCTGTGTCCATGTGTTCTCATTGTTCAATTCCCACCTATGAGCGAGAACATGCCGTGTTTGGTTTTTTGTCCTTGTGATAGTTTGCTGAGAATGATGGTTTCCAGCTTCATCCATGTCCCTACAAAGGACATGAACTCATCATTTTTTATGGCTGCATAGTATTCCATGGTGTATATGTGTCACATTTTCTTAATTCAGCCTATCATTGTTGGACATTTGGGTTGGTTCCAAGTCTTTGCTATTGTGAATAGTGCTGCAATAAACATACGTGTGCATGTGTCTTTATAGCAGCATGCTTTCTAATCCTTTGGGTATATACCCAGTAATGGGATGGCTGGGTCAAATGGTATTTCTAGTTCTAGATCCCTGAGGAATCGCCACACCGACTTCCACAATGGTTGAACTAGTTTACAGTCCCACCAACAGTGTAAAAGTGTTCCTATTTCTCCACATCCTCTCCAGCACCTGTTGTTTCCTGACTTTTTAATGATTGCCATTCTAACTGGTGTGAGATGGTATCTCATTGTGGTTTTGATTTGCATTTCTCTGATGGCCAGTGATGATGAGCATTTTTTTCATGTGTTTTTTGGCTGCATAAATGTCTTCTTTTGAGAAGTGTCTGTTCATATCCTTCACCCACTTTTTGAAGGGGTTGTTTGTTTTTTTCTTGTAAATTTGTTTGAGTTCATTGTAGATTCTGGATAATAGCCCTTTGTCAGATGAGTAGGTTGCGAAAATTTTCTCCCATTCTGTAGGTTGCCTGTTCACTCTGATGGTGGTTTCTTTTGCTGTGCAGAAGCTCTTTAGTTTAATTAGATCCCATTTGTCAATTTTGGCTTTTGTTGCCATTGCTTCTGGTGTTTTAGACATGAAGTCCTTGCCCATGCCTATGTCCTGAATGGTATTGCCTAGGTTTTCTTCTAGGGTTTTTATGGTTTTAGGTCTAACATGTAAGTCTTTAATCCGTCTTGAATTAATTTTTGTATAATGTGTAAGGAAGGGATCCAGTTTCAGCCTTCTACATATGGCTAGCCAGTTTTCCCAGCACCATTTATTAAATAGGGGATTGTTTCCCCATTTCTTGTTTTGTCAGGTTTGTCAAAGATCAGATGGTTGTAGATATGCGGCATTATTTCTGAGGGCTCTGTTCTGTTCCATTGGTCTATAAATCTGTTTTGGTACCAGTACCATGCTGTTTTGGTTACTGTAGCCTTGTAGTATAGTTTGAAGTCAGGTAGCGTGATGCCTCCAGCTTTGTTCTTTTGGCTTAGGATTGACTTGGCAATGTGGGCTCTTTTTTGGTTCCATATGAACTTTAAAGTAGTTTTTTCCAATTCTGTGAAGAAAGTCATTGGTAGCTTGATGGGGATGGCATTGAATCTATAAACTACCTTGGGCAATATGGCCATTTTCACGATATTGATTCTTCCTACCCATGAGCATGGAATGTTCTTCCATTTGTTTGTATCCTCTTTTATTGCATTGCTTGCTCATTTTTAAATTAGGTTTTTATCTAACTTATTGAGTTTTAAGAGTTCTTTGTCTATTTTGGATTCAAAATGTTTATTAAATGTGTGTTTTGCAAATATATTCTACCAGTTGTGGCTTGTCTTTCCATTCTCTTAAAAGCATCTTTTGCAAAGAAGAGGTTTTAAGCTTTCATAAAGCTCAACTTACTTTTTTTTTTTGTGGATTGTCCTTTTTATGTTGAATATAAAAACTCATTGCCAAACCTAAGGTAACCTACATTTTCCCCCTAGTTTTCTTATAGAAATTTTATTGTTTCCATTTTATATCTACGTCAGTGATACATTATGAATCAATTTTTATGAAAGCTTCATAGACTGTGTCTAGGTTTGTTTATTTATTTTTCACATATGGGTGTACAATTTATTTAAAGGGTATTTTTACTCTTTTCTTTCCTTTATTCTTTTGTCAAAGATCAGTTAGCTGTATTTGAGTGAGTCCATTCCTGCACTCTTTATTCTGTTCTCTTCATCTATGTATTCTTTGGGTGATACCACTTTGCCTTGTTTACTATATCTTTATAATAAGTCATGAAGTTGGTTAGTGTCAGCCTGCCAACTTGGTTGTTCAGATGCAGTGTTTCTTGGCTTTTCTGGGTCTTTTTCCTTTCCATATAAATTTTAGAATCAGTTTGTCTATTCCCACAAAATAGCTTGCCATACATTTGATTGATTTTGCATCTATGTAAATCAAGTTGGGAATAATTGACATATTGACTGTATTGAGTCCTGCAATCCAAGGACACAGACTATCTCTCCATTTGTTTAGATATTCTTTCACTTCTTTCATCAGAGTTTTATAGTTTTCACCACATAGATATGGAATATATTTTGTTAGATTTATACCTAAGTATTTCATTTTTTGATGCTAATGTAAATGATATTACATTTTAATTTCAAATTCTTTATGTTTGGGGGTCATATAAAAGAAAACAATATGTATTTATATATTAATATTATATCTGTGACTTTCTTATGTTTAGTTATTAGTTGCAGGAGTTTTTGTTGATATTTGGAATTTTCTACATGGACAGTTATGTTATCTGCAAATTCATTCCCATGCTATATACATTTTATTTCCTTTCCTTGTATTATTGCACTTACTAATACTTCCAGTATGATTTTCAATAGGAGTGGTGAGAAGGAACATTCCTGCTTTGTTCCCAGTCTTCAGGAAAAAGTGTCCAATTTCTTACCATTAAGTATAATGTTAACTTCCGGCTTTCATGGTTCTTTATCATGTTAAGGAAAATCTCCTCTGTTTACAGTTTGCCGAGAGTTTTTATGTTGAATGTGTGTTAGATTCTTCTCAAATGCTGCTTAGGTTACAACTGAATGACCATATGGTTTTATTCTTAAGTGTATTGATATAGTGGATCACATTAATTGATTTTCGCATGTTGAACCAACTTTGCTTACCTGGAATAAATCCCAACTTCTCATAATATATAATTATTTTTATATAGCCTTGGATTCAATTTGATGATTTTTTTGAGAATTTTTACATCTATGCTCCTGAGAAGTATTTGTCCATGGTTTTTCTTTTTTGCAATATCTTTATATGAATTTGGTATTAGTGAAATGCTGCATAAAATGAATTAGTAATTTTTACCTCTGATTCTATTTTCTGGAAGAAATAGTGAAGATTTTTTTTTCATTTATTTTTTTTAGTTAGTTTTTTTGCTTAAATGTTTGGTAGACTTCACCAGTGAGAACATTTGGGTCTGGAGCTTTCTTTTTTGGAAGTTTATTAATTATTGACTCAGTTGCTTTTATAAATACAGACCTAGTCAGATTTTCTGTGTCTTCTTTATGGGTTTTGATAGTTTATGTATTTCAAAGAATTTGTCTATTTCATATTTGTATTAAATGTGTGAGGATAGAATTGTTTGTAGTATGATGGGATTAGTAATAATGATGCCTCTTTCATTTATAACATTTATAATACTAGTAACTTGTTTCTTCTCTCTGTCTTTTTTTTTTCTTTTTTCTTTTCTTTCTTTCTTTTTTTTTTTTTTTTTGAGACGGAATCTCTCTCTGTCGCCCCAGGCTGGAGTGCGGTGGCAGGGTCTCAGCTCACTGCAACCTCTGCCTCCCGGGTTCAAGCGATGCTGGTGCCTCAGCTGGCCGAGGAGCTGGGACTACAGGAGCGCGCCACCACACCCGGCTAATTTTTTTTGTATTTTTAGTAGAGACGGGGTTTTGCCATGTTGGCCAGGCTGTTGTTGCACTCCTGACCTCAGGTGATCTGCCAGCCTTGGCCTCCCAAAGTGCTGGGATTACAGGCGTTAGCCACTGCACCCAGCTCTTCTCTCACTTTTTATTGGTTAGCCTGGTTATGGTTTTATTTGTTGAATTGGTCTTTATAAAGAACCAGCTTTGGGTTTTGTTGATTTTAATTATTGATTTCTGTTTTCTATTTTATTGATTTCTTCTCTAATTTGGGCCATTTCTTGTATACTGCTTGCTTGAGGCTAAAATTGCTCTTCTTTCTTTACCGATTTTAGATTTCTCATTTTCTAATACACGTATTCAATGCTGCAAATCTCCCTCTGAGGACAGCTTTCACTGCATCCACTACATTTCATAGAGTTGCAGTTTAATTTTCATTTAGTTCAAATAATTTTTCATTTCACTTGAGACTTCTTTGATGCATGTATCATTTAGAAAAATGTTACTTTCCAAATATATGAAGATTTTCCATCTATTTTTCTGCTATTGATATCTGGTTAAATTCCATTGTTATCTGATAATATATTTTGTACAATTTCTGTTCTTTAGCATTAGTTAAGGTATGTTTTATGGCCCATGATGTAGCCTATAGTGGTTCTTAGATCATTAACCTGGCTGAACCTCAATATTAATTTTCTTTCTTTCTTTGTTTCTTTCTCTCTCTCTCTCTTTCTTTCTTCTTTTTTTTTTTTTTTTTTTCGACAGAGTCTCACTTCATCACCCAGGCTAGAGTGCAGTGGCTCAATCTCAGCTCACAGCAACTTCTGCATCCCGGGTTCAAGCAATTCTTGTGCCTCAGTCTCCCAAAGTAGCTGGAATTACAGCTGTGCACCACCACACCCAGTTAATTTTCTTTTCTTGTATTTTTAGTAGAGATAGGGTTTAGCCAAGTTGGCCAGGCTGCTCTCAAACTCCTGACCTCAAGTGATCCACCCGCCTCGGCCTCCCAAATTGGTGGGATTCCAGGCATGAGCCACCGCACCAGGACCAATATTACTTTTCTTCAGGACCCATCCTTCACCCCCACCAGAACACATTATAAATGAATAATTATTCCATTATGTTAATTGAAACACATATATAAAGAGGTAAGGCCCTGTTTTGGGTTCTTGTTTAGGACAGTAAACATACACTAATTGGCCTCCCCAGCAATTGTGTTTAGCATGAGGAACAGGTAATAAACATAAATAAATAAATGACATAGTGTATCAGCAGGTGGTAAATGCTATAGATGAACAGAAGTAGATATGACATTTAAAGAACTTGGAAATTATCATTCCTGTCATCGTAGTAAAATTACTTCTGAATACACTGAAAATCACCTTTTCTTGGATCAATCAAATAACTGAGGTTACAGGGCAAATACCATCCTGAAAACTGCAGAGGCAGGCAAATATAATGGATTCTAGCCAATATCTTCTTGCTTTAAGTAGAAGCCACAGAAACCATATACTGGTAGAAACAGACATGAGAATTATGAAGAACTTTTGGAGGCTAAGTGTGGTCTGGCTTGAGGGTGAGAAACTGATAGGGTGGCATTTTTAAGTAGGGCCCCATCCCTTTTTGGGGAACCCCCTATCAGATAATCACAAAGAAGAGCCAACAAATACCTCCTCCTGATTCTGGCACAGAGAGGGAAAGAATAACCTTTGTGAAATAATCCCAGAATATTCTCTGTAAATAAGTTTACTCTTCAAGGGAAAGACTTTGCCAGAAGCTTAGTTCATCTGTGAAAGCACATTTACTTGACGCTAGCTACCTCCAGCCTTTCTGGATTACCTACAGGGAGGAAAAAAAAAAGGTAAAAAACAATTGTGAAGGTCACAGTCCAGAAGAAACTAAAGCAACTAGAAGAAGAGGGAACATGATGTTTAACTTACCCTTAGGCTTTCTTATGTAGTGAGAAGAAAGCATCAAAAAAAAAAAAAATCAAAGTGGAGGCCTGTTTTCTGACTCATCCTGTTGCAAGAGACAGGAACCAGAAGAGAGAGCTGTGCATGTGAGTTTGATCTTTCAATGCCCAGTGACCCCATCAAATGGTAAACATGGACAGACAGATATCATGGGAATTAACTTATTCGGGTAAGTATTCTCTGCTCTTCAGGAGGTGTAGAAAGGTGATGAAGAGAGCAACAGAATCTTATACTTACAATCAGTGTCATGGTATGGGTAATCTCAATGTTTGGGGAAAGGGGATGGGTAGTTCAAGAAAGACTATCAAGAAGGAATGCCTTAGCCTAGTCTTCAAGGGTGAGAGGAACTTGATAAAGAATGGGAAGGAGGACAGAAGGGCATTCTGGACAGAGCAAGGCTCATGAAAACAGACTTGGAGGGAAGAGAGAAAAAGTCCTGTTTAGTAGATTGTAAGGAACTCAATGCAACTGGAATATTGAATGTCATGAAGGGAGTGGAGGAGATCAGAAAATGAAGTTGAGGCAGGAGGCATGGGCCAAATAATATAGTATATTGTATGTATGGGAGAAGGACTCAGACTTTACCAGCAGCAATGAAAAAACCATTGAAAGGGAATAGCATCATCAGATTTCTATTTTAAGAAGATGATTTAAGTTAATGTACAGAGAATGGATTGTAGGAGATGGTAGTGGGTGTCATGATGATATCCCAGTTACCCTGATTTGATCATTACACAGTCTATACGTGTATCGAATATCACATGTACCCCAGAAATATGGACAACCATGAAGTATCAACAACAGCAACAACAAATATCAGGAACACCAAATAGAAGTTCCAGTGCCTTGCATGAATCTAAATGAGGAAGGATAATGGTCTGAACATCATTATAGCAATGGCGTGTACAAGACTGGGTGAATCTGGGAAAGAACCAAGAGGTAGAATCTGTTGGTATTGATTAGATGAGGCAGATGGAGGGGAGAAGAGGGATTCAATGATGATCCCAGGAATATATATCCCCAGCCAGATATATATCTCCAATACCAACAGTGCCTTTGTAAAATGGTGTCTTGGCCGGGCGCGGTGGCTCGTGCCTATAATCCAAGCACTTTGGGAGGCTGAGGTGGGTGGATCATGAGGTTAAGAGATTGAGACCATCCTGGCCAACATGGTGAAACCCCGTCTCTACTGAAAATACCAAAATTAGCCGGGCGTGGTGGCAGGTGCCTGTAGTCCCAGCTACTCGGGAGAATGAGGCCGGAGAATCGGTTGAACCTGGGAGGCGGAGGTTGCAGTGAGCCGAGATCGCGCCACTGCACTCCAGCCTGGCAACAGAGCGAGACTACGTCTCAAAAAAAAAAAAAAAAGAAAAGAAAAGGAAAGAAAAATAGTTTCTTTTAATAGCTTCTCAAAGGGTTTATGCCATGAAGTTAATTGTTTAAAGATATATTCCATCTTAATTAGAGCCTACAGAATATGAAAACTTTGGGTGAGCTTAAATTTCTGGTGAGGAATGTAAAACACACACATTTGTAGCAACTTGTGGAAATGAAAAACCCCTGTATTTTAGTAATGTGCACTCCGGGTGTGTAACCAGGAAGTTTTCAGTTCAAGCAGCAACTAGCTATAAGGCTGTAACTGCAGAAAGAATGATAAGTTGGAGATTCATTAAGTATTTATTCCTTGGTAGGTCTGTCCTTGTTATTGATAAATCAATTACAGACAAACTGAGTTTGTAACTTTTCAGCTGGACAACTTTAAAAAAATATGAAGCATTTACTTCCCTGAACTATTTACCTGACTGAGTTATCTTAAATTGCTCTGTAAGAACATTGGCAAATACCAAATCTGATACATCGTCTTAGCAGGGGTGAAATTTGATTGTGAAAATGGACATTAACTTATCTAGCAAAAACACAACTTCTGAAATATTCTTGCCTAAGATGTTTTTTCCCGTATAAATTTATGAGAATGTCAGGGGTGAAATTTTAAAGGTCAACTAATACATCCCTTTTTCAGGCATAGATGAAACTAAGACCTAGAAAAAACTGGTTAAGGAACCTGCCCATGGTCATGTGTCACCTTTGGAGCTAAGTCAAGACTCAAAAGCATTAGTTTTCAAACCATCATGTGGTCGACTATGACTGTCTTGTACCTCTATGTATGACTGGTCTCCAAATGTGGATGGGTGCCATTATTATTTAAAAAAAAAAAAAAAAGATAAAATACAAATGTATTTGAAAGCATTACGGTATTTAGAAAAAGTTCATAAAAATCAATGCTTTTTTTTTTTTTTTTTTCTTCACGGAGTCTGGCTCTGGAGTGCAGTGGCGCAATCTCGGCTCACTGCAGCCTCTGCTCCCAGGTTCCAGCAATTCTCCTGCCTCAGCCTCCTGGGTAGCTGGGATTACAGGTGCACGCCACCACACCCAGCTAATTTTTGTATTTTTAGTAGAGACAGGGTTTTGCCATGTTGGCCAGGCTGTTCTCAAACTCCTGACCCCAGGTGATCCGCCCGCTTCGGCCTCCCAAAGTGCTGGGATTATAGGTGTGAGCCACAGCATCTGGACTCAATGCCTTTTTTTCTCAATCAACAAACACTAATATTGTAACTCTGTTTATGTGGATAGAGGTCAGTAACATTGTGGGAGGGCATTGATAAAGTGTTTTCATACTCGAAAATTGGGAAACTCTTTGTTGTGGGTTGAATTTTGTTCCCCAGAAAGAGGTGTTGAAGTTCCAATCTTCAGTATCTGTTAATGTGACCTTATTAGGAAGTAGGGTGTTTACAGTAAACTCAAGGTGAGATTATACTCAACTTCCGTGGGTGCTAATCCAACAAGAGTGACATCTGTTATAAGAAGAGGAGAAGAAATACACAGGGAAAACACCATATGACTACCGAGGCAGAGGCTGGAGCCATATATCTGCAAGTCAAGGAATGCCAAGGACTGCTGACAGCACGAGAATCTAGGAGAAAGACACAGAACAGATTCCACCCTAAAGACTTCAGAGAGAGCGTGGCCCTGATGATACGTTGATTCTAGACTTCTTTACCGCAGAACTGTGGCACAATGTATTTCTGTTGTTTTAAGTCACCTAATTTGAGGATCTTTATTATAGCAGCCATTGCAAACTAACATACTGCTCTTCTGCAAACAGTTGATGTTGAGGACTGCCAGCAGTCCATAGGAGAAAACTCTTTGAATAAATGTTGTCATTATGTGCTATTCTTTTGCCTTACTTATTTTTGTTCACTTAGACGCTATTGTTTTCAGCATAGTGCTTTCACCTATACTGTGTACTGAATGGAGTTTAACTAATATCCTCTGTCCTCCTGCCCCCTTCACTGTCTATTTCCCCAACCCCATTATACCTACTCCTCTCTCTTCAATGATGGAGGGCTCCACATAGCATTTGCAGATTAGGTTTGTTTTAGAGAATGAAAGTGGATGAGGTAAAGCAGTGATTACATTTATAAGCTGTCCTATATTTCCTTTTTATTTCTGAACTCGGTTTGCTTTTATTGCAAACATTAAAGATTGTTTCCTCACTGGTTCTTTTCTTCCAAATTGAGCTCCATATATCATTTCATCTGCATCCTAACTGGATATTTGGGCTTCTTTTGTTGTACCAGGCAAATATTAAAGTAGAAGTCAATATTGAGGAAAGACAACAGAGAACCATGAAGTACAGTATTTCAGTGGCATAAAATAAATATAATTATTCCCCTTGGCAATTCTCTTCCAATCAGATACACAGGTAATCTCCTTACTTTATTGTTCAATATAGTCAAGTGTATGGCTTCTTATGTAAATGTTAATGTGATACTGGCTTTAAATCTTGCTCTTTCAACTACATGGTACTCTGTTATTAAACTTTGGAGTTAGGAGAGATCTTAGAAGTCAGTGAGCTCAGTGAGGATGCTGGAAATGCTGAGATTTGCACAGTCTCACAGAATTAACTGATGATAGAACTGAGCCTTCAACCCAGGCCCCCTGTGCCCTAGTCCAGCATTCTTTCAGCCAAATCTCTCTCCTTTTTAGATAAGAGGTTAGTTTCCCTTCAGAAAGTGATAGTGTTGTTCCTTTTGCAGGCAAGTGTACTCTAGTTCAAGGTCTGATCTCTTTAAATGTAGACAGGATAGAACTTCCCTGCAGAGTCCCCTACTCCAGTTCTCTCTTTTTGCAACTAGAGCTGCAAAAACTCACCTTCCCATCAACAGAATGAAAGCTTCAGATGATGAGATAGCTAAGTCACGATACAATTTCCAAATTAAACAATGTAAATTTCTTAGTTTTGATCATTGTACTATGGCTATATAACAGGTTAACATTAGGGGAAGCTGGGTGAGAGACATGAAGGAACTCCATAAATTTTGATACTTTTCTCTATGTCTAAGTTGGGTTCAAATTAAAAACATTTTAAACATCAAATACATGGGAATTTGAAATGTATCAATGGCTTTCATAACCAATCTTATTCCTGAAAATGTGTGTGTGTTCCTCAGGACATTCTTTATATAGTAAATGCTGACTTTATACTGTTGTAGCATAGTAAGTTTGCTAAGTCTCTCTCGTCATCTTGTGAAAATTGCATTTTGCTAGAAGTCATTATAGGACAGACTGTGTGCTCGGTGGCTATAATTTGCACAAAGTAAAGATATTGTATGAGAGACAAAGAGTACTATGGAGGGCAATGCAATGGTTGAACAACCATCTATTGGAAAGACCATAGCACCCCACTTCTTCTGGGGAAAGAATGAAGTTAGCCAACTCGAGTCCAAAACTGGTAGACTCTTCTCTCCAAGCTCATTCATATATAATGAACTGTTAAGTGTCTACAATTTGGAAACTTCTGTGCATGTTGGGTAGACAGGCAAGCAAATAGGTGGCTATTACATACTTTAATAAGTGTTATGATAGAGAGAATCCCATGGCTCTATTAATGCACAATGGATGAGAACTTCTCACTTTGCCTTTGGGGTAAACATGTCAGGGAGAACATCCTGAAGGAGGGACTACCCAGGCCTGAATCTTTAAGGAGAACAGGAGGTAGCCAAGCACAGAAGGCAAGGACTATAGAGAGGCCTTCCAAGCAAGGAGAGGAATATAAGCACAAGTATAAGAAAAGTTTAGCATGTTTGGTCAAGTAGTTCATTACAGTTAGGTCATGAGATGTACATGTATGTAAAGGAATACTGGGACAAGGCCTTTCATTTTGAATCATTTGAGGAGAGAGAAGCAGCATGACCTACTTTTATTTCAGAAGGATCTCTCTGGCTGCAGAATGGAAAGTTGATTGGAGGTGAACTAGAAAGGAAACAGAGAAGCTAATGAGAAAATTATTGCAATAGAACAGATGAGAGAGAATGGTGGCTTGAAGCAGAGTGGTAGCCGTAAGGGTGATCAGAAGTGAACTATTCCAAGATATATTTAGGAGACACATTTGAAAGAACTTGATGCTTTATTTGATGCTGGAGTTCACTGAGAGTGACAGATGATGTTCAGATTTTTTGCTTTTTCATAATGAGCCAACTTCAACTTCTTTCTTATCATTTCCTCCACCTCCTTGTTTAACTGAAAAGGATACTTCTTTCCCTGCAGACTTCTTATATGAAGTGGCAGAGTAAAGGGAACTACATGTGCTCCCAGATACAGTTTATGGGATGCCAAAATGGCATAGGTCAAAACAACGTTTCTTACCATTTTGTATTCAGTTATAATCACTGAGTTTTCAAAAAATTGAATAAACATACTCTGGTTTCACTATGAATTTATTATTTTCTAGGCAAAATCCTAATATGGAATAGGGAAAAAAAGTGCAAACAGATTCCACTACCTCCTGAGCATCAATTACTCTTGCTATATCACTGCTCAAGTAGTGGACCTGAAAGTAGTGACGGTGTCACTACTGCTTTCCATGGCCTCTTCTAGAATATTATTCCTCTATGCTGCGGGTAAATATCTGTGCTGTTTTGAAAGGTCTGTCATCCAGCTTTAAAATTATTTCCCTCTCCAAATTTCTATCAACTACCCTACTCATTCATCCATGACTTTGGCACATGGTTCACAGTTTTCCTCTCTACCCAAAGTCCCTCCATTACCCTAAGATGACGTCAGTGCCTATGTGGATGGCCCAATCTACATATCCTGGCCTCCTAGTTCCAATGACCCTCTAGTCCAGGCTTTTTCAGTTAGCCCTCCCGCAGCTACACCCTTGACCTAATCATTATTCATAACTGCTGCACTTGCAAAATCTCTCATTCCAGTAGCCCATTCTATTAACACAACCACCTGTCCTTTCAGTTTTATAGTTCAACTAGTAGCACAACTGTTATTTAATCTCTTTAGGATACCCAAAGTACTTACCCTCTATTTTCTTCTCATCAATCAATACTCCCCTTTCTCAACTTCCCCTTTTAACCAACCTATTTCCATAGTTAACCATTTCAATAACATCTTTGTCAATACCCCAAAAGCCTTACATTATTTGTCTTTTCATTGCCAAGGAAAACTCAATATTTTGCAAAAACCCAACCTCGCGCATTAATCCAACTGGCTAACTTCTCTGTGCCAATAGTCAGCTGAATTTTTTGAAAATTATGATTCAACAGAGCAGATGACTTAAACATGAATTCATGATTATGAACTTCAAGTGGGCCCTCGATTCTTCGTGAAAAACATATCATATTTCTATGGTCAATCTGATTTCCCTGTATCCGCAAAGGCAACTTCAAAATTTGTTTTCACATCTGAACCCTGCCTTATATCACGTTTTGTAGATGAAATTTTTTTTCCCTGTTTTACCAAGGAACAGAAAGTTACAGAAGGGAACTTCTGTGTCCACCTATCATATGCACGTCTGCCTGTACCTGAACTCTACTCATTTTTATCTTCCTTCATTTTTGTCATGATATGGGACCTGTATATCCTTCAAGCTGAGGCCAGACACCCAGCTCAAGCTTCAGACAGTATAATCTCCCACTATTTCAAGACCTTTGTATTCAGGGAACTTTAATTATTGTTTGCTCCTTCTCTTTATTATTCTCAACCTTTATCTCTCAAATAAGTGATTTGCCTCAGCTGTTATACATGCTTAGTTCTTTTTCATTGAAAGAAAAATAAGCATCCACTTAATGCCCACTCTTCTTCCCTGTACAGCCAGACTTACAGATAGGTTGCTTATACTCACTGCTTCCAGTTCTTCCCCTCTTCTTCTCAACTCAGCCCAACACAAATCAGCTGCTATCCTATCAGACTGTCATCAATATTTACCCTTTTGACCACTCCATCCTCTTTAAAAAAATCAACAACTTGCCTTAGTTTTTAAGACATTCCCCTTTATTTCTTTTCCATTTCCCCTCTCACACCCATTCACTGCCTTCTTGGAAGGTACTTTCTTTTCTTCTATCTACATACCAAATGCCAAGCTTCCACCTCCCCAGCGTTTTTGCTGAGTGGCGGCAGCATATGGTAAGAAACGAAGCCATAAACAGATGGAGCATCTTGCATCATTGTATTCTGAATTCCTTAATGCTTTCAATGAAAGAGTTCAGTGGGAAAAAATTCTACCTCAGACTTCTCACAGTCCACACCCTAGGTCAATGGCTTTCAGAGTATGCCTGCGAAGTCCTGGACTTTTGGAAATCTGATTCAGGAACCACTGTGGGGTGAAAAAGAAGAAGGCTAAGCTAATGGAACTGCATGTTGCTTGCTGTTTCAATAAGCCCAGCTCCATTTTTATCTGGTTTATATTATTGGATTATCATAATATTTCATTTAAAAATGTGGTCATACTTAACCAAATAGACCTAACAGACCTCTACAGAACTCTCAACTTCCAAACGACAGAATATACATTCTTCTCATTGCCACATGGCACATACTCTAAAATCGACCACATAATCAGACATAAAACAATCCTCAGCAAAGTAAAAAAGGCAGAAATCATACCAGCCACAATCTCGGACCACAGTGCTGTAAAAGCAGAAGTCAACACTAAGAAAATTGCTTAAAACCATACAATTACATAAAAATTAAATAACCTGCTTCTGAGTGACTTCTGGGTAGATATTGAAATTAAGACAGAAATCAAGAATTTCTTTAAAACTATTAAGAACAGCAATATAATATACTAGAATTTCTGGAACACAGCTAAGGCAGTGTTAAGAGAGAAGTTTATAGCACTAATTACCCACATCAAAAAGTTAGAAAATTCTCAAATTAATAACCTAACTAGAGAAACTAGAGAAGCAAGAGCAAATCAATTCCAAAGCTAGCAGAAGATAAGAAATAACCAAAATCAAAGCTGAACTGAAGAAAATTGGGACATGAAAAACCACGCAAAATATCAATGAATCCAGAACTTAGTTCTTTGAAAAAATTAATAAGATAGATACACCACTAGCTAGACTAATAAAAGAAAAAAGGGAGAAGACCCAAATAAACACAATCAGAAATGGCAAAGGGGACATTAAAACTGACCTCACAGAAATACAGAAATCCCTCAGAGACTGCTATGAACACCTCTGTGTACATAATCTAGAAAATCTTGAGTAAATGAATAAACTCCTAGTCACATACAACCTGCCAGGGCTGAACCAGGAAGAAATTGAATGCTTCAACAGACATTTTAATTCTAAAATTGAATTAGTAATAAAAAGCCTACCAACCAAAAAAAAAGCCCAGGACCAGACGGATTCGCAGCCAAATTCTAGCAGATATATGAAGAAGAGCTGATACATTTCCTACTGCAACTATTGAGGAGGAGGATGTCCTCATTGACTCATTCTACGAGACCTGCCATATCCTGATACTGAAACTTGGCAGACACACCACAAAACAGAAAATTTCAGGCCAATATCCTTGATGAACATCCTCAAAAACGCAGTGACAAAATCCCCCAAAAAATTCTAGCAAACTGAATCCAGCAGCACATCGAAAAGTTAATCCACCATAATCAAGTAAGCATTATCCCCAGGATGCAAGGCTGGTTCAACATACACAAACCAATACATGTATTTCACCACATAAACTGAACTAAAACCAAAAACCACATGATTATCTCAAAAGATGCTGAAAATACTTTCGATAAAATTCAACATGACATCACGTTTAAAAAACCTCAATAAACTAGGTGTTGAAGGAACATACTTCAAAATAATGAGAGCCATCTATGACAAATCCACAGCTAACATCATACCGAATGGGCAAAAGCTGGACGAATTCCCCTTAAAAACTGGAACAAGACAATATGCTGTCTGTCACCATTCCTATTCAACATAATACTGGAAGTCCTAGCCAGAGCAATCAGGGAAGAGAAAGAGATGAAAAGAATCCAAATAGGAAGAGAGGAAGTTAAAATATCCCTGTTTGAGATGACATTATTCTATATCTAGAAAATCCCATAGTCTCTGCCTAAAAGCTCCTTGATCTGATAAAAAAAAACTTCAGCCAAGTGTCAGGATATAAAATCAATGCACAAAAGTCAGTAGCATTCCTATATACCAACAACATCCAAACTGAGAGCACAATCAGAAATGCAATCCCATTTACAATTGCCATAAAACAAATAAAATACCTAGGAACACAGCTAACCAGAGAGGTGGAAGAAAACAGTGCTCCACGAAATCAGAGATGACACAAACAAATGGAAAAACATTTCATGTTCATGGATAAGAAGAATCAATGTTGTTAAAATGGCCATACTGCACAAGACAATTTACACATTCAATGCTGTTTCTATCAAACTGCCAATGGCATTCTTCATAGAATTAGATAAACCTATTTTAAAATTTATATAGAGCCAAAAAAGAGCCTGAATAGCCAAGGCAATCCTAAGCAAAAAGAACAAAGCTGGAGGCATCACGTTACCCAACTCCAAACTCTGTTACAGGGCTACGGTAACCAAAGCAGCATGGTACTGGTACAAAAACAGACACATAGACCAATGGAACAGAATAGAGAGCCTAGAAGAAATGCTGCACACCTACAGCCATCTAGTCTTCAACAAAGTTGACAAAAATAAGCAATAGGGAAAGGACTCCCTATTCAATAAATAGTGCTGAGATAACAGACTAGTCATATGCAGAAGACCGAAACTGGACCTCTTCCTTACGCCATACACAAAAATCAACTCGAGATAGATTGAAGACTTAAATGTAAAACCCAAAACTATAAAATCCCTGGAAGATAATCTAGGCAATACCATTCTGGACATAGGATCTGGCCAAGATTTCATGATGAAAACGCCAAAACCAATTGCAACGAAAACAAAAATTGACAAGTGTGACCTAATTAAAGAGCTTCTGTAGTACAGCAAAATAAACTGTCAACAGAGCAAACTGACAACCTATAGAATGGGAAGACATATTTGCAAATTATACATCTAACAGAGGTCTAATATCCAGAATCTATAAGGAACTTAAACAAATTTACAAGCAAAAAACGAACAACCTCATTAAAAAGTGGGAAAATTACATAGAGACTTTTCAAAAAAAAAAAAAAAAGTACGTGTGGCCCACAAGCATACGAAAAAATGGTCAACACCACTAATCATTAGTGTATTATGCCATTCTCACATTGTTGTAAAAAGTTACCTGAGACTGGGTAATTTATAAAGAAAAATGATTTAATTGGCTCATGGTTCTGCAGGATGATGTACATGCTTTATGTAAAGCATGGTGGCCTCTCCTTCTGGGGAGGCCTCAGAGAGCTTTTACTTATGACGACGGAAGGCAAAGCGGGAGCAGAAAATTCACATGGTAGTAATAGCAGGAGCAAAAGAGAGAGGGAGAGGGGAAGTACCACATACTTTTAAGTACCCAGATCTCGCAATAATTCACTCACCACCATGAGGCCAGTACCAAGAGGCTGGTACTAAACCACTCATGACAAATCTTCCCCCATATTCCAATCATTTCCCACCAGGCCCCACCTTCAACATTGGGGATTACAATCTGACATGAGATTTGGTGGGGACAGAGCTCCAAATCATATCATTTAAAGAAACGCAAATCAAAGCTACAATGAGATACCATTTTACACCAGTCCAAATGGCTATTATCAAAAAGACTAAAAACAACAGATGCTGGCAAGGCTGCAGAGAAAAGAGAACACTTACACACTCCTGGTGGGAATGTAAATTGGTTTAGCCATTGTGGAAAGTAGTGTGGCTCTTCCTTAAAGAATTGAAACAGAACTACCATTTGACCCAGCAATTCCTTATTGGTTATATACCCAGGGGACTACAAATCACTCTACCATAAAGACACATGCATGCCTATGTCCATTGCAGCACCATTCACAATAGCAAAAACATGAAATCAACCTAAATGCCCATCAATGGTAGACTAAAGAAAATGTGATACATATACATCATGGAATACTATGCAACCATAAAAAAATGAGATCATGTCCATTGCAGCAATATGGATGGAGCTGGAGGCCATCATCCTAAGCAAACTAATGTAGGAAGAGAAAACCAAGTATCACACATTCTTCCTTATAAGTGGGAGCTAAACAACAAGAACACATGGACACAAAGAGGGGTTCCCCAGGCCTACTTAACAGTCAAGAGTGGGATGAGGGAGATCAGAAAAAATAACTATTGGGTACTACACTTATTACCTGGGTGACAAAATAATCTGCACATGAAATGCCGGTGACTCAAAGTTTACCTATACAACAAACCTGCACATGTACCCCTGAACCTAAAATAAAATTTATAATAAAATAAGATGCTTATGGTGTCAAATTTACTAATCATAAACTTTGTCATTTTTTTGCACTGCTTTTTTTTTTTTCTTTTTGTGACAGAGTTTTGCTGTTGTTGCCCAGGCTGGAGTGCAATGGCACTATCTCGGCTCACCGCAACCTCCGCCTGCTGGGTTCAAGCAATTCTCCTGCCTCAGCCTCCCGAGTAGCTAGGATTACAGGCATGCGCCACCAAGCCCAGCTAATTTTGTATTTTTATTAGAGACGGGGTTTCTCCATGTTGGTCAGGCTGGTCTCGAACTCCCGACCTCAGGTGATCTGCCCGCTTCGGCCTCCCAAAGTGCTGAGATTACAGGCGTGAGCCACCGCACCCGGCCTCTACTGCTTTTAAGTGTGCAAGATGTTTTTCATTCTGAGATCCAGAGGTTGGATCAATAACCACCTTCATTTTATTCTACTTTATTTTTGCTTTAACTAAATTTGATGTATGGTATGAGAAAAGGCTCTAAATCAATATTTTTTTTTCTAACTGGTCATCCGTGAATCCCTTTTATTTATTAAACAAACTTTCTTCAGTAAAAGTGTGTTTTTTTCTGTACACACACACATTTATATGTACACACATACACATGCTCACACACTCACATTAACCTATTCCAGAGGCCACACTAATTTTGAGACTGAGAAACAAAACCTGTTGGTGTTAAGTTTCAGGTATCAGTCTGTTTTCAGTGTATAAGTCATGTTTAGTGAAAAACTAAGTGTTTTGTGTGACAATTTCAGACTGTGTACAGTATGCTGGTGTCAGTGTGCCTCATTGAACTCAGAGGAAAAATACATTCCTTTATCTGCCTGAACTTGATCTATCTTGAAATTTCTAACCTCACATCCATGTAATCTGTCATGGCATCAA